>NC_000009.12:37737272-37888787 GCF_000001405.40 Homo sapiens
ACAGGCCCCTTTCACTGGCCTTGTAGGTAAGGGCAGCCTAAAGGGAGGTGGTGAATTGAATTGAGCCGAGGCTTCAGCTCAAGTGGATGAGAGCTATTTCTCTGTTTATTTCCTAGTAAACAATTGATCTTTCATAAATACTAAACAAAGAAGCTTTCTTTGTATCTGAAATTTTCCTGAAACCAAGGAATGCTGTGGAAGAGCTCTAGTTCCCTGCTGTATTTCCTAAGATTGTCTCTCAGATCCACTGCATTTTATCATTATTTCTCAGCCAGGCATTGTGGCTCACGCCTGTAATCCCAGCACTTTGTGAAGCTGAGGCAGGTGGATCACCTGAGGCCAGGAGTTTGAGACCAGCCTGGCCAACATGGTGAAACCTCATCTCTACTAAAAATACAAAATTAGCCGAGCATGGTGGCACATGCTTGTAATCCCAGCTACTTGGGAGGCTGAGGCAAGAGAATCGCTTGAACCCAGGAAGTGGAGGTTGCAGTGAGCCGAGATCGTGCCATTGCACTCCAGCCTGGGCAACAAGAGCGAAACTCCATCTTAAAAAAAAAAAAAAAAAAAAAAAGATTATCATTATTTCTCATCAAAAAGAGATGTCACTTATTTGTTCAGGAAGTAGATGACCTGGCTTCTCTTCCTTACCTATGCACTCTTTTGCAATCTCTTGAAGTATAAAAGAACTTCTCTGCAAGGCAGGTAAGACAGTTTCCTAGGCCAGCTCCCAGTTTCTGCCAGGCTTTTGCCTCAGCACCATTGATGCAGCATGAACCTAGGGCTGTGCTGATAAATGCTTAACAACTCCCTGCAGAGGGACAAAAACAGTTTGAAGGAATTGCCCAATTCCATGGTGTCAACATTCTCACGATGGGTAATTTCAGGCTACCACGATATGATGATACCATGATGAATGTGGAGATGGGAAGAGGTGATCAATAGCACACCACTGTAGAGTGTTTCCTCTATATGGATAAAGTAGAAATCAGCTCAAGAGAATAGGTACTAATACAATAAGTAAAACAGTTAGAAAGTGATGAGTTTGGAGTATCTGTTACCTTTGTTTTTATTTTTATTTTTTTTAGAGGCAGTCTCTCTCTGTCACCCAGGCTGGAGTGCAGTGGTGCAATCTTGGCTCACTGCAGCCTCCACCTCCTGGGTTCAAGTGATTCTCCTGCCTCAGCCTCCCAAGTAGCTGAGATTACAGACACCTGCCACCACGCCCGGCTAATTTTTGTACATTAGTAGAGATGGGGTTTCGCCATGTTGGTCAGACTGGTCTCGAGCCCCTGACCTCAAATGATCTGCCCACCTTAGCCTCCCAAAGTGCTGAGATTACAGGCATGAGCCACGGCGCCCAGCCTGTTACCTTTGTTGTTACACAATGTATTTATGAACGAGGGGTGACTCCTCAGAGTCTGCTCAGGGAGACAACGCAGAGTGGCAACAGGGCTGTTGTGGAGGGGTTGTGGGGGGGACTGCTGCTGCCTGTCAGAGAAAGTTCTCTAGAGGAAGAGGTATTGGAAATAGATCTTGAAGAACATGCTGGAGTTAACCAGGCACGGAAAAGGAAGACAGATCATTCAAGGCCGAGGGGGCCTGGAGGAATGACCCGAGGAAAAGGCCATGACCTGAAAGGAGCTCTCCCTATGGGTGGCTGGAACGTGGCAGGGAAGGCTGCCATGGGGGACTGGGTGCCTGAGGAGGGGCTGGACCATATTGCAAGAGGGGAAAAGGGAGATGGTGAAAAGAGATAGGAGCCCCACCACGAGAAGGGCAGCTAGACTACAGAGGAGACCTCAGCGCCATTCTGTGAGGGAGACACTAGACTGAAGGGGAGGTGTCAAGACCATCCTGTCGTGGGTACTAGACTGCAGAGGAGGGTTCAGGGCCATCCTGGGAGAGGGGGAAGAGCCTGCAGAGGAGGCCTTAGGGCCATCCTTTGAGGCAAGGGAGGACTAGACTGTGCATGAGGCGCCATGGCCATCCTGTGAGAAGGGCAACAAGGCCATACTGTGAGAGTCTGTAACTGTTGTGGGGGAGGCCAGGCTCTTCCCCGTAAGCAGGGCAGCCATCAGAGGGTTTAAGCAGGGTGTGATGAGGTCAGAGAGAAGTTTGAGAAAGATCACTCTGGAGGCTTACAGGAATAAAGAGATTGCAACCTGGCTCAGTGCTCCCCAGCCTCCTACCATTAATCCTTCCTGAGAACCTGCCGCTGGATGAGTTTTCACTGTCCTACAAAGCCCATAGCACCCATGGATCCAGAAGGCCAGGCTTTAGAATGGTGCCAGCCTAGCAGCCTCGTACTCGTCATAAAATTGCTAAAAATACAGATTCTCAGGCCCCACTTCTAGCGATCTGACTCAGTACATCAGGGGTAGGGCCAAGGATCTGTTGTATTTTTAAAATATGATTCCCCATCTGACTTTGACGCCCAGGCAGGATAGAACTGAGGTCTGGGGAGGGGCTTAGCAAACCTGGGCAGTGCTGCCCACACAAAGAGGAATCAAAGTAAATACCACATTTCCATGAACAGACAGTTCTCCTTGGAGGTGGGGATGGAGTTAATCCAGCCTCCTTTAGCTCAGAGAGATGTGGGACAGGCGGTCTGATAGCATGGGGAGAACATGGAAGCTGGAGTCCCTCGGATCCCGTGTTCGTCAGTATAGGACGGTCTTAGGCCAGCCACCCTCTGGCCCTCAGTTTTCTCGTCTGGCAGGGTTGGGTGGGGGTCAGGGGGCTAGAAGGACACATAGGTAGGAGAATTCTGTTGTGTAACTGTTGCTGTACCCTGTGTTGCAGGCTATGAATCCAGGGCCTGCAGTGACTCAGAGGAGTCCTCTGAGGTGGACTGCGTACTCGAACCTCTCTCTGACAGGCGCCTGGTGAAACTGGCACCCTGCAGATCACTCATAAAGGAGGAGCAGCCTCCTGGGAACAGCCCCACACCTGAGGTGGCTAGGAGGGGCCCCAGCACCTGCGGGGCCAGCAGCACGACAGACAGTGCCGAGTCCGAGGCGTCCGACTCAGCCAACACTGAGAGCCGCGGCTACAGGACCAGTGGCTCGAGTGAGTCCATGGACGCTCTGGAAGAGGATGACTTAGACACCTGCTCCTCCAGCAGGTCCACCTTCTTCCACTTTGGCTCGCCAGGCCTCGCAGAGAGCATTGACTCTGACAGCCAGGAGGAGAGAAGCGGGATTGAAACCAGTGGCTTCCTCTGTCTCCTGGACCTGGCCCAGAGAGCCAACCCCCAGTGCCAGAAGACAGAGTTTTCCGAGAGTGCTGCTTTGGAGACATTTGGCTGGGCACCAGAACTGAGCACAGTCAGGCTGGACCCCAGGCTGTATGAAGGCAGCCACGCTGACTACTACAGCCTGTGTTCCAGTGTCTCCCCGGCCAGCTACCTGAGTGACAGTTCCGAGAGTACAGCTTCCCGGCAAGGGGGAGCCCCGCCAGCCTGGGGTCAGCAGGGCTGGACTGAGGCCCAGCCCAGTTCCATGCTGGAACCCCTGGCCCTGCACCCACCACTGGCCTTTGAGGATGGCAGCTCAGATGAGGAATACTATGACGCGGCTGATAAGCTCACTCCCCCAGGCCCCCCGTCAGGTGAGCCGTCCCTTGCAGGTCTGCAGACACGGCAGGCAGCTCCTGAGTGCCTCCCGGGGATCAAGGCCTGGGGCCAAGCTTGAGAGGAAGGCACATGAGTGAAACAGGGTCCCTGTACACTTCTGAGGAGGTAGATACAGATTCCATGGACCAAATTTTAGGCATCGTGGCAGGCCTGCAAGGGAGGTTCAGACAACTGTGGCAAGCAGATGGGAGGGATTCATCCAACAGTGGGAATCAGGGAAGGCTTCCCAGAAGAGGGGGCAAATGGGCTGGGCCCTGTGGGAGGGACAGAATTTACAAAAAAGGAAAGGGCTTGACAGGAGTGCCCGGCAGAGCGAAGTGGCTATGTCATCACTGATCCTGAGGCTGCATTAAAGGAGGCCTTGAAGCAAGAAGAACCAGACAGACAGGCCGTCTGTGGCCCTGCAAGGCCTTCTGGGGTCCAAGGGACCCTGACATCAGAAGGTAGGGGATCTGGTGGCTGTGTTTCTATCAGGTTCCTCATACATTCCTCCACCGAGAGTGTGGAGGGTCTTTCCAAGCAGAACTGAGATCCTGGCAGGACACACACACACACACACACACACACACACACACACACACACTGCATTCTGAAGGAAACATATTGGAAAAGAGCACATGGATGTTGAAGGTGACCTGCCAGGAGCTGGGAGAGCTGCAGCCCTTGTTCCTGTCTCGGCACTTTCCTGCTGCTCTCTGATCCTCTATTCCCAGACCTCCTGTGCTCTCCCACTGTTCTGGAGAGAAAGGCCAGCTCCTCTGGGAGCCCCATCAGGCCCTTTGAGGCCCTCTGTGACATGGCCTCTGCCTGTCTCTCTCCCTCCTCCTGCATTCCTGCCATACAGACCTCCTTGCCACTTTCTACAAGTGCCTGTTTTTTCCCCCTCCTCCAGCCTTTGCACATGCTGCTCTTTCTGACCGAAACACTCCTCCCCAGATCGTGGCTGATGGTGCCCATCCGTCTATCAGATTCCGGTTGGAATTCACTTCCTCAGAGAACATTTCCCAGGCTTCCCAGGCCAGGGCAAGTCTCCCCATCTCTGTCACATGTTCTTGCATTACCTGGGGCTCTCCCTGTCTGGCACCTCGCACAGCCTGTAAATTACATATTTACTTGTATGATTCTGTGTTGATGTTTCTCTCCATCACTAGACCGAGAACTCCTTTGAGCGTTAGAACTGTGTGTTTCTCACTGTGTCCCCAGCACACAGCGTCTAGCAATTGTTGTTAAATGAATGAATGAAGTCTCCACCATCTACACTGAGTTCAATTGACTGTACCTCTAAGGAAAGGAGAAACCATGGCCAGACTCCTTACTGCTCCCCAAAGTACCCAGACAACCACTTTCCATGCCCCAGCCTTGCCCTGCAGGGCCAGCCATTGTGCCGGGGGGCAGGATGGAAGTGTGGCAGAAACCATCAGTCAGGGCCCTTTTATGGGAGTCTAGTCAGGAACATATGGGGTTCATACCAGACACTGTTTTGTTTTTGTTTTTGTTTTTTATAGGGAGCCAGTGTAGTGCTGAGAAAAGAGCCAGAACTAGGATTCCTCAGCCTGGGTTCTGATTTGGCCCCTGACTGACTATTGGAGCCTCTTTGTCTTTGGGACTTAGAAACTCCTTGGTCGGTGGCTGTCAGTAGCCTAGGGCAGTCAAATGTGACTGGGCATCAGAATCACCTGAGGGACCTTGTTTAAAAACTATAGATTTGGCCGGGCGCAGTGGTTCACACTTGTAATCCCAGCACTTTGGGAGGCAGAAGCAGGCAGATCACCTGAGGTTGGGAGTTTGAGACTAGCCTGGCCAACATGGCAAAACCCCATCTTTACTAAAAGTACAAAAATTAGCCAGGCATGGTGGCGTGCACCTGTAATCCCAGCTACCCAGGAGGCTGAGGTAGGAGAATCACTGGAACCTGGGAGGCAGAGGCTGCAGTGAGCCGAGATTGCACCACTGAACTCTAGCCTGGCCAACAGAGCAAGATTCTGTCTCAAAAAACAAAAAACAAAAAAACCTAAACCTTATAGATCCCTAGGCCCTAGCCTCAGAGATTCTGACTCCTCAGAGATTGTGGGGAGCAGCCTAGGACTTGATAAGGTTTCTAATAGCATACAGCCAGGTTAGAAATGACTGGTCTGACTACCCAAGCTCTCTGATTCTCAAGTGCTAGGCTCTGATCCTAATTCCTTCTGGCTGATTCCCAAGGGTTCTTTACAATAGTGCCTCTCCTCCCAGAAAGATCCATCCTGGGATGCACAAAACTCGATGCCTGTGACAGAGTTGTGGCCCCTTTACATTCAGACATGAAATGGCAATAACGAGCAGCTTCCTTTTAGTGAATACCTAATGAGGCAGAGGCCTTGTGCTGGGTGCTTTATAAAAATGCACTAATTCCTTTAACCTGCACGGCAGCACTGAATGGCACCATTGGCACTAAAAGACTTGGGTTAACATCAGCACAAAGAAAAAGTGTTAGGAAGTAAGATTGTTTATAGAATTGCTGGCAAGCCTGAAGACCTGGGTTCAGAAATAGACAGCAACCAGGCTAAGAGTCTAGTCACAGGATTCCCTACCTGTATTATCAAGCTATTGTGGTTGGAAAGAATGGCTCTGCTTTTTTTTTTTTTTTTTTTTTTTTTTTTTTTTTTTTTTTAATGTCTTTGGGTTTGGAATTCTGGAGAATTTGTAGCTGATTGGCTGGCGTGGACAGAGCATCTTCGTGAACAGTTCCAGCAGACTCTAACCATTGGGGAGATGTCATTCCCTAAACAGAAGTTGAGATGCTGTGACCAAAAGATAATTAAATGGATCTTAGGCATCCAAAAATTTAATAATGTCTATCACAGCTGGGTGCAGTGGCTCAATCCTATAATCCAAGCACCTTGGGAGGCTGAGGTGGGAGGATTGCTTGAACTCAGGAGTTCAAGGCTGCTGTGAGCCGTCACACCACTGCACTATAGCCTGGGGGACAGAGTGAGACCCTGTCTCAAAAAAAAAGAAAAAAAAAAGTCGGCCAGGCGCGGTGGCTCATGCCTGTAATCCCAGGCCTAGGTAGGCGGATCATTTGAGGTCAGGAGTTCGAGACCACCCTGACCAATATGGTGAAACCCCATCTCTACTAAAAATACAAAAATTAGCTGGGCATGGTGGCAGATGCCTGTAATCTCAGCTACTCCGGGGGGATGAGGCAGGAGAATTGCTTGAACCTGGGAGGCAGAGGTTGCAGTGAGCCGAGATCACGCCACTGCACTCCAGCCTGGGTGACAGAAAGAGACTCCGTCTCAAAAAAATAAAAAAAAATCTGTCACAATTATTATCCCCATCTTTCAGATGAGGAAGTTGAGGAGATCAGGATTGAACTTGCTCAAGGTTACACAGCCTAGCCAGAATTTAAACCCAGGAAAGCCCAAGGCCTGAGCCCAAGCTCTATTAACCTCTTTTTTTTGTGCTTTTTAATGTATTTTTTCTTTCCTGACTCCCAGGGCCCAGAGATGTTTCTACTGCAGAACCCAGTGCCACAAGCTTGCAGAATAAGGCCAGCACTTCTAGCCCTGAGAACAGCCTGCCTTGTGGGCCAGATGGAAGACAGCCAAGCAGGAGGGGAGGGGTGAAGAAATATGCCAAGACCCTGAGGAAAAGAAGGTCTTTCCTACAGACCGACTACACCTCTCAGGTCTCATTTCCCCTGGTGCCATCAGCCTCCCTGGAGAGTGTAGACGACGTGTGCTACTATGACAGGGAGCCCTACCTGGCCCTTGGTGCACCCTCCCCAACTGTGTCCTCTCTGCAGGACATGCAGGGTGAGCCTGGCCTTCTGGAGACCAAGGCCTTGGGGCTGCTGGCTCCTCTGAGGGAGACCAAGAGCACAAACCCAGCCTCCAGGGTCATGGAGATGGAGCCCGAGACCATGGAAACCAAATCAGTCATCGACTCTCGAGTGTCTTCTATTTCTGCCATTCGCTTCCGGATTGACCCCAACAATAAAGAGAATTCTGGTGTTGTCCCTGCTGCCAGCTCCTCAGCAAGCACTCCTCACTGTTCTAACCCAGGTTCATCTGGCCCAGATACTGCTCAGGCAAGGCCTTCCCAAATCTTACCTCTATCTCAAGACCTGGATGGGATTGCCCCCAAAGAACCAACCATAGAGCATGGAGACAGCTCCTTCTCCCTCTCCAGTGGTGACCCTAACCCAGACAGAGCCTGCCTGGCCAGCAACCCAGGACTAAATAATGTCTCTCAAGGAGACACACTAGAGCTCCAGTTGGAGCCCCATGTCCAGTTGGAAATGGGATTGGAATCTTTTTGTACAAATCATATACAAGAAACTGCCCCCAAATACACAGAGCCTTTGTTGTCTCCTAGAGATGAGCCTAGAAGTGATGAATGTGGAATAAATCCAGGAGAGAAGATAGCTTCTATCCCTACAAAGGAAGAGCCACAAGGACAACTATCTCTGGAAAGAGACAGAGAAGTTACAAACAAAAATGGCACCAACGTATTTCAGGAGGAGTCTAGGAAGGATTCAGGTGACTCCCCGGGTGATGTGTCAAATAATGTTTCACAGACTCTTGATATTAGCTCTCCAGCTGGTAAAATAGTAACCTCCCTTTCTTTAGATGCTCCTGTAACAGGGACCGAGCAGATCCCACCACATCCCCCTAGAGACCCTCAAGGACAGAGCAGAGAACCCCCAGGGCAAGGCTGCCAGGCTCAAGAACAAAAACTATTCGTAGAGTTGGATTTAGACCCTGATTTCTTTCTTGGGAAGCAGACAGTTTCACCAGCCGTCCCTCCAGAGGGGATCAAGGCAGAGGCACCTAACCATGTGACAGGGCAAGATATAGCCCCTAGGGACAGCCCTGAGTGGGTCTGTTTTAATCCTGAGCCTTCCCTGCCAGAACCACTACCATGTCCACAAGAGGATCCTCACTTAGAAACTTCAAACCATTGCTTACTCTCAGAAGGCAAAAGTGACAGCTCTAGCATCTGCCTTTCTGCTGAGAAGTCTTTTCTGTGCTTTGCCCCAGAAAGCCATCCTGAAGTCTCTGCCAGTCTCAGGGTGGCCACATCTTTGGGTTTTGCAGGCATGAATGAGATGGTGGCTCCCAGGATAGGGATGGACCAGTGCAGCTGTCAGTTCTCCTATGCCACATGCTTCCGTGGCCCGCAGCCTGAGACAGAGGAAGAAGACAGGGACTTGGAAGCACACCCCATGGCCCCCCTCACCTCACCGCCCTCTGCGGGAAGCCCGGTGGTTCTGCCCTGGAGGCCTGCCCGAGCCCACAGCTGCACCACCGCACCCCTGTCGAGGAAAAGCCACATCTGGCCAGAGTACTGCTCCAGGGCACTGAGACAGCTGAAAGCCACCCCTGCCAGCACCCCTGAGGGCTTCATCCAACTCATGGAGAGCTTGCTGGAGCTACAAGACATTTTAGAAACTTCCTGGGGGGTTGGAAACAAACATCCCCCAGAGAAGTGCACCTGGCACTTTACCGAAAGCCGGAGCCGCCTCTGCATGGGCTCCCAGAAGCTCCTGTCGAGCTGTCGGCATGTGATCAGAATGGACCAGTCCCCCGAAGAGATGCAGGGGGCCGTGCGTGACACCTTCCAGCACCTGGTCCAGCTGGCCGGCCTGTGCTTTCAGTTCACAGACTGTAGCCGCTGCTCCGCCCGGCACAGGGAGGCAGCGGGGAACCTGAGGGATGTGGTGTACACCTACCATCAGTTTATAGAGGCTGCTAAATCGACCTGCGAGAGAGGCTACCACGACCTGAGTGTGAAACTCCTGGCCCGTCAGTGCACGGCCCTCACGGCCGCCGTGTTCTGTTTGACCCAGAAGTTCCGGGCATCCACGGCCCTGTAAACAGGTCAACGGCCCAAGGGCCTCCTGCCCTGTCCTGCCTTGGACACTTCCCTGAGAAGCCCCTTCCACTCTCCCACCCACCCTCTTCAAATGTTTACTATATAGAGTATTCAAATAAACTGCTGCTTAATCTTGGCCTGAGTCATAGAGTTTGGGTTAAAAGCATTCACTTATATTCGTTCAACAGACATTCACTGGATACTTCCTTTGTGCCAGGCCTTGGGATTTACAGATGAGTAAGACAAGTCTCTCCCCCTGGTCAGGATGCTTACAGACTCTCTAGGCACAGATTAGTTAGATCACTATCAGCAAAGTGTTTATCATAAAAGGAGCGTACCCAAGGAGTGTAGAAGCAAAAGGAATACTCAAGAAGGCAGGGGTGAGGGAGAAAGGTGGGGGTCACTGAAAAACAGTCTTGACTTCTCATATCACACTTATTTGGCAATAACCTTTGCAAATAGGAGTGAATACCGGTAATATTTGATAGACTTCGACCTTCACAAGTTATGGTTTGCAGCGCCTGCACCAGGAGGCCTGGGATTCTTGGCTGCCCCACTGCAGCAAGCATAGGTTGCCACTAGGTGGCAGGAAGTTCTTTCATTGCAAGGCCACACATGTGCTTTATCTGAAATTGATTGCATCCCTGAATCTTGCACCTTATTCCTGTTTTAAATATATAAAAAGCCGAACATTAAAGCCTTGAATTAGATTTGCCTTTTTAAGAAAATTAAAGCAAAAGAAATATATTGGATACCTTTCTTACCCCAGTTGAGCCAGTTAATCCCAGTTCATCCTGGTGGACCTTAGACAAGCCACCTAACCTCTCAGTGCTTTGGTTTTCTTTTCTGCAAATTGGCATACTAATAGTGCCCATTTTATGGGATAGAAATCCAGCAAGTACTCAATCTAGTAGATGATAAATGCTAGCAATAACCCTCAGCTCTTATGGACGTCTCTTCTAGTCTGAAACCATCCACTGTATTTTGTTTTTAGACCCCAGGGAAACTGATTTTAAGCCTCCCTTGGGGTGCCTCTTTGCCTGGCTTCTCTGTCCAGGCCAAAGGTGGTTTAGTCACTCACCTTAGGCTATTAGAGTTCGTTAAAGGAGTCCCTTGTCCCTCTGGTGCTCCTGACCAGTGTGAGCTCAGTGCTGCCGCTGTGGCTCTTCTCTAGGGCTCCTTCCCTCCACCCAGCAAAAGCAGGAACAGAAAGGAGAGTATGAAGTCACACACCTCAGCTCTCTCCAAACAGAAGGAAAACAATACCTGAGAGAAGACGTGAAAAGGCATCCTTCCCATCTCCTGTTACCGATAACTTGTTGTTAATAACTAGAAACCAGTTACCAGTACTTGTGCCAGGAAAAGACGTATTTTCTTAGAGGCCTGTTTCTTTTCATAGGATACTTTGAATAAAACTTAAATGAGGCTCTTGAACACAGATTGGAAGCAATTTCATGGCAATGAAAAATAGGAACTACAGGGCACCAAAATAATAAAAATTGCCTAATGTTAAACAAGACCTGAAACTTTTGTCAGCAGAAAGCTGTGAAGAGGTAAAAACACAACCTATGTGTTCACAAGTTTAGGGGAGGAGCTCGGGACTTCACTCAACAAGAATTTTTTTTTTTTTTTTTTAGATGGAGTTTCACTCTTGTTGCCCAGGCTGGAGTGCAATGGTACGATCTTGGCTCACTGCGACCTCTACCTCCCAGGTTCAAGCGATTCTCCTGCCTCAGCCTCCTGAGTAGCTGGGATCACAGGCGTCTGCTGCCATGCCCAGCTAATTTTTGTATTTTTTTAGTAGAGATGGGGTTCCACCATGTTGCCCAGGCTGGTCTCGAACCCCTGACCCCAGGTGATCTGCCCACCTTGGCCTCTCAAAGTGCTAGGATTACAGGGGTGAGCCACTGCACCTGGCCTCAATCAGGATTTGAATCCTGGCTTTGGCCTGTGTTATCAGGCATTTCTCTGGGCCTCAGTTTCCCCATCTGGCAAAAGGAAATAATACTCCTTTTCATTTAATGAGGGCCTAATATGTGGCAGATGTCTTATTTAGATACCTTGAATGCATTTTTCTAATACAGCCAACACCCTAGAGATTGTTGAATAATATATATTCAGCATTATTGTGAAGAATAAATAATCATGGAAGGCACAAAGAAGACTGAAGCTTCCAGCTCAGAACTCAATACATGTTTATTTCCTTTTTCTTTGGTTCTCCTCCCCTCAAATTCATTAACTGTCTTGAGTTGCTACTGTATGGAGCTGCTATTTTTCTCTACAGTTCCCATGAGGAGAACTAAGTCCCAGAAGTGCTGGGAAACCCTTCACTGTTTGTTGAAAAGCTAAAGAAGCAGGGGAAATTGCACTGTTTAGCACTTTCTTTGAGTCATGCAGCCTCCAACATGAGATAGGCAGAATGGGGACTTGCTACCCTGAAATGCAAGGGTCAATTGTTTAGTGACTAAGAAACGATGGGACATTTACACCTTTCCTTCCTTTTCCCACCCACCATCACATTGGCTGATTCATTTCTTTCAACAAACATTCATGGGTTGCCCATGCCAGGTGATGCCTGATGCAGCATCATCTGCTTGATGCAGAATGTAAATAATTGGGGAAGAATCTTATTATATTTTGAAAAGCTCCTGAGAGAGATTAGGTGACACGTGAAGATAGAGGCTTACAACATAAGGCGCGGTTCACTCGGCCTCCAAAGAGAACAGATAAGGTGCTGTGAGGAGTCTAAGGAGAGAGAAGTCATTTTGGAGTGAGGGGCAGAGTAGTAATCAGGGAAAGCTTCCTGCAGAAATCAGCATTAATTAAAACTAGCCTGTCAAGAAGTATTTATTGAGTATCTACTGTGTGTCAGGTCCTGGATCTGATAGATAGAATTTGGATATGTCAAGAATGTAGAAAAAAATCATTCATTTATTGTCAACAAATATATACTATGCAGTGGCATTGGGAATACAACCACGAACACGGCAGACATAGTCTCCTCAAGGAACTTATAATTGTAGGAAAGACACAGAAAAAAAAATCCATTACTGACTGAGAGGTGATACAAAGAAACCAAGAAAAGATGCCAAGACAGGGATAGAATGAACCAATCTTGCCAAAGTGATCGTCAGGAAAGGCCTTTCTGAAGAGGGAATGCTGAAGCTGGGGCCTAAAGTATAAGAAGCCAGGAATGGAAAAGTGAGAGAAAAGGGAATAGTATTTGCAAAGGCTCACAGTGTGTTTGAAGCATTTCAGGATCAGCGCAACTGGAACATAGCAAGCTGGAGGAAGAGTGATAGGAGATGAAGCTGGGAGGGGCATGCAGGAGCTGGGTTGTATAATACAAGACCTCGGGCAGGGGGTTAGATTTTACATCAGGAGAGACACATAATCATATGGCAAACAGATGGAGTGGGGATTGGGGAAAGCAATGAGACCAGCTAGAAGGTCTTTTCCTCCCACTGGAAAGTGGCTATGAGCTTATTCAGAGGCAAAGGACACAAGAGCGGTGGCAGGGAGCGGAGGAAAGTGTTCAGTATGGCTCAGTGTGAGGCGCAGGGACTGGTAGGTGTGGTGTGAGCTAAAACCTGAAGGCGTCATTGAAGATCATTTAAGCCATGGTGCAAGCCCCACTGGGGCATTTCAGCAGACAGTCGGAAGCCAGGGCCATCTCTGAGCAGAGCAGAGATGTTAAAGCTGGGCTTTAGAAAAAGCCTTATGGGAGGGCCAGGCGCGGTGGCTCACGCCTGTAATCCCAACACTTTGGGAGGCCGAGGCGGGCGGATCACGAGGTCAGGAGATCGAAACCATCCTGGCTAACACGGTGAAACCCCGTCTAAAAAAAAAATACAAAAATTACCCGGGCGTGGTGGCTGCCTGTAGTCCCAGCTACTCGGGAGGCTGAGGCAGGAGAATGGCGTGAACCCGGGCAGCAGAGCTTGCAGTGAGCCGAGATCGTGCCACTGCACTCCAGCCTGGGCGACAGAGCAAGACTCCGTCTCAAAAAAAAAAAAAGAAGAAAAAGCCTTATGGGGTGGAGAGTTGGGGGGGTGGGAATGAATTTTTAGTGTTAGTATTTTAAAATCGCAGCCGGGCACGGTGGCTCACACCTGTAATCCCAGCAATTTCAGAGGCCGAGGCAAGCGAATCGCTTGAGCCCAGGAGTTCAAGACCAGCCTGGGCAACATGGTGAAGCCCTGTCTTTTTTTTTTTTTTTTTTAAGAAAAAGAAAAAATTTGTAAAAAAAAAAAACAAAATCGTCCTGGAAGCTGATAATGGATGGATTGGAGCATGGATTGGGGATGGCTGGTAGGTGCTAGAGGAGCTGTGGAAAGAAAAGTCCACAGGGGGGAATTGTTGGGCCAAGGAGGAATCCAACCAAGCTGTAGTTTCTTGAACGGGAGATATTTCGGGCTCATTCAGGTTGGAGTCTCTCTGAATGGGTGAGACCTCTTAGGACTGCAGGAGTGAAGGAAGAGTGGCTGATAAAGAGGCCAAGGCTTGGGCAAGCCGCTTCGTGTCTCTGATGGAGGAAGAAGAGTGCCCAGGGGCTAGAATCATCCTGGTCAAAGCCCTGATATTCTGTTGTAGGCTGGGGCAGTGGCGAGGGAGGTTGTGTACTCAGGAAAGGGTTGTGTCAGCTCGAGGGCTCTGCTGGCTGTGGCAAAGCCTGGGGAAGGGCAAGGCTGTGGGATGATGGGCCGTCCAAATTTGGTTTCACCTGTTAACGAAGGGGAAAAAAGGTGCTAGACTCAGTTAATCTCCAGAATTGGAAGGGCCTGGGAGGGGAAAGATCTAGTTAGGTTAATAGAGGTTTTTTTACAGATGCAAATCCCTCCCGCACCCTCAACACAAAACAGCTTTGCAGGGGCCATTTCAAATTATGGCAATGAAACATATTTTGGGGTAAAAAATTTTTGTTTTTCTGTCATGTTGAGAGGTGACAGAGTGATGGCAGCCCTCGCTCGCTCTTGGCACCTCCTCGGCCTTGGCGCCCGCTCTGGCCACGCTTGAGGAGCCCCTCAGCCTGCCGCTGCACTGTGGGACCCCCTTCCTGGGATGGCCGAGGCCGGAGCCGGCTCCCTCAGCCTGCCGGGAGGTGGGGAGGGAGAGGCACAGGGGGAACCGGGGCTGCTCGCAGGGCGCTTGCGGGCCAGCTAGAGTTCCGGGTGGGCGTGGGCTTGGCGGGCCCTGCACTCGGAGCGGCGGCCGGCCCCGCCGGCCCCAGGCAGTGAGGGGCTTAGCACCCAGGCCAGCAGCTGCGGAGGGTGCGCTGGGTCCCCCAGCAGGGCCGGCCCACCGGCGCTGCTGTTGATTTCTCGCTGGGCCTTAGCTGCCTACCTGCGGGGCAGGGCTTGGGACCTGCAGCCCGCCATGCCTGAGCCTTCCCCCTACCCCTACCCCTACCCCTACCCCCACCCCTACCCCCACCCCCACCCCCGCCGTGGGCTCCCGAGAGGCCCAAGCCTCCCAGACGAGCACTGACCCCTGCTCCACGGCACCCGGTCCCATCGACCGCCCAAAGGCTGAGGAATGTGGGCACACGGCGAGGGACTGGCAGGTAGCTTCACCTGCGGCCCCAGTGCTGGATCCACTGGATGAAGCCAGCTGGGCTCCTGAGTCCAGTGGGGACTTGGAGAACCTTTATGTTTAGCTAAGGGATTGTAAATACACCAATGAGCACTCTGTATCTAGCTCAAGGTTTGTAAATGCACCAATCAGCACTCTGTGTCCAGCTCAGGGTTTGTGGATGCACCAATCGGCACTCTGTGTCTAGCTAATCTGGTGGGGACTTGGAGAATCTTTATGTATAGCTAAGGGATTGTGAATGCACCAATCGGCACTCTGTATCTAGCTCAAGGTTTGTAAATGCACCAATCAGCACTCTGTGTCTAGCTCAGGGTTTGTAAATATACCAATCAACACTCTGTGTCTAGCTAATCTAGTGGGGACTTGGAGAACTTTTGTGTCTAGCTCAGGGATTGTTAACGCACCAATCAGCACCCTGTCAAAACGGACCAATCAACTCTCTGTAAAACAGACCAATCGGCTCTCTGTAAAGTGGACCAATCAGCAGGATGTGGGTGGGGCCAGATAGGAGAATAAAAACAGGCTGCCCGAGCAAGCAGCGGCAACCCGTTGGGGTTGCCTTTCTGGACTGTGGGTGCTTTGTTCTTTGTAATAAATCTTGTTGCTTGCTAACCCTTTGGGTCCCTACTGTCTTTGTGAGCTATAACACTCGCCGTGAAGATCTGTATTTGCAGCTCTTTCTTGAGGCCCGTGTGACCACGAACCCACCGAGAGCGAAGGAACAACTCCAGGTGTGCCCTCTTAAGAGATTTAACACTCATTGCGAAGATCTGCAGCTTCACTCCTGAAGCTAGCGAGACCATGAACCCGCCAGAAGGAAGAAACTCCAGACACGCAGTCTTTAAGAATTGTAACACCGCGATGGTCCGCGGTTTCATTCTTGAAGTCAGTGAGACCAAGAATCCACCATTTCCGGACACAATATGATATCAGGTTGGAATTTGATATTTTAGTTCTACAAAGATTCTGTTGTGTCAGTCCCCGTTGGGCCTAAACTCCGCAAGGGATGGGATATAATATCAGTGCATGTCCAACCGCCCCGCTCCACTCCCGCTTCCTGTAATGGCCATAACTAGTTTTTAAGGTTTCCTTCGGCAGAGAGGGAGGTCCATTCAGTCGGGTGCGGGCCTTAGAATTTTTTTGCTTCACACACCCCAGTTTCGCAATGTCCAGCCCTTGACAACCAACAGAGCACCTGTAGGAGCCCTGTGAAGTTGGTAAAGGGTTGGGGTTGTAATAGCTGTCCAGCAGACGGGGAGACAGGGGTTCAGAGAAGGTGGGCAACCACCACAGCAGGACGCAGCTCCCTACCGCCAGGGCTGGGAGTAGAAGCCGCAGCCTCCGCTCCGGCTCGGCCCCACGAGCACCCTGCAGGTGAAAAACTACAATTTCCAGAATGCCATTCGGAGCGGAGTTACGAAGCGGAAGCGAGGCCGGGGGCGGGGGGGATCCGATGCGCGCCGCTGCCGCTGCGTGGGGGTGAGGGGATCAGGTACGCTGTCCGCTGGTTAAGGGGGCTGGCTGGGGGCTGCGGGGTCTGTCCTGGGACGTCCGCCTCCCTCGCGGGTGGGGCGGACGTTGAGAAAGCAGCGTTTAGCAGTCATGTGGCCTGTGGTACTCCACCTTCCTGATACTTTCCCTTCCTGCTTCCACTCGCACGCTCAGCCTGTGGGCCGGGAGAGACCCGCAGGCGGGGTGCTCTCAGGCTGAATTCGATGTGCCATCACTTAGCGGCAGTGTAGGTACCCATCAGGTGGGAGTTAGGCTAGCAAAGGTCTGAGGCCTCTGCCAACCTAGGGTGGGGGTGCGGAGTGGAGGATTTATGAACTCAGCAAGTATTTATTAAGCATCTATAAGCAAACAACACTTGCCTACATTGAAGGGATGGAGGAGGTTCCGACAACAAGTAAAATAGGTTATGTTGGATAGTAATATGAATGAGGAGAGGAAGGTAGTCTGTGAGTGTCTTAGGGAAGAGCATTGAGGGTAAAGAGAACGGCGAATGTAAAGGCCTTGAAGGGTATGTTTGAGGAACAGCAAATAGACCCCGGAGTGCAGAGGAAACGAGAAAGGTAGACCTTAGTGATCTGCATAGGTCATTGTATGGATTTGGGCTATTTACTGTCAGTGAAATGGAGAGTACTGCAGGGTTCTAAGCAGAAGAGTGGTGATCATCAAATACTTAGGATGCTCACAGGGCTCGGGTACTGAGGGTGTACAGGTGAATTCTTCCAATTCTTCCCTGGGTTTATAATCTAGTGGGGAAACAGGTAGACAGCTGTCATGCAAGGCAGGGTCAGATAATTGGAGCCCCATGAAAGCAGAACGAATGTCATCCCCAAGTCCCCAGGATGTACTATTATGTCAGGTGCTTAGTAGCTTTGTTGAACGAAAGTAATGAATATTCAGCATCGGACCCATAATTGGAGGCTCAGAAAAGATGTTTAATGAAGAAATGAAAAATAAATGAAATCTCACTTCTTGATACTGTTACAATGGCAATTAAGTTTCAACCTGAATGTGAGAAGGGGACAAACATTCAAACCAGAGCAGCACTCAAATTCATAAGATAGGAAATACAAAGGTGCTGCCAGGATTGGGGAAGGGAGAGTTATATAAAGGTCACAGGGTCGGGTGTGGTGGCTCACGCCTGTAATCCTAGCACTTTGGGAGGCCCAGACAGGTGGGTCGCGAGGTCAGGAGATCGAGACCATCCTGGCTAAAATGGTGAAACTCCGTCTCTACTAAAAATACAAAAAAATCTAGCCGGACATGGTGGCGGGTGCCTGTAGTCCCAGCTACTCAGGAAGCTGAGGCAGGAGAATGCGTGAACCTGGGAGGCAAAGCTTGCAGTGAGTCGAGATCGCGCCACTGCACTCCAGCCTGGGCGACAGAGTAAGACTCCGTCTTTTTTTTTTTTTTTTTTTTTAAAGTTAGTTTCACTTTAGGAAGACAAACAAGCTCTGGAGCTGGACAGTGGTGATGGTGGCACACAATGTGGATGCCCTTAGGTGTGTTTTTAACTGCACATTTACAAATGGTTAAAATGGTAGTTCCTATGTCCAAAAAAAAATGCTAAATTTGGGCATAGATAATGTCCCACACAGATTGAGCAGATCTCTGCTTCTGTGATGTCCAACTTCACCTTTGCTTTCTGAGGATCCCTAGGTGGCAATCACCTAATCAGTATTTATTGAGCTTCCATTCTGTGCCAGGCCTTATGCCAGACAACAGAGATACAAAGATACAAAAGAGGTGGGCCCCGCCTTCAGGAGTGTTAGCTTGTTCTATTACTCTTCTGATGGTGGTTGGAGTTGTTTTTATTTGATTTGCAAGGTTATTGCATCCCAAATTCCTGGTTTAAGAAACATTCTCAGGGACTGTAGAGATTTGGAGAAACATGAGGTAAAAGGAGGGGAAAAGAAAGGAAGGGAGTGGGAGTGGTGGCGGTAAACTTCAGTTCAATTAAACAAAAAATAAACACTGCTGTTTTCAAGGTTCTATACTGTGAACTCTTAAGTGTTTAGGTAAATGTAGGTATAAGCCCTCCTACAAAGGAATTCAGTTTGATAGGAGAGAAGATACCAGCACAGACTTTCCAATTTTTGAAAACAACAGTGGAAGTCTGTAGCTCCTAGGATCTCCTATCCTAGATCTCTTTTCCCCTCCTTAGCCAGACTACCTCCAGAGAAATCTCTAGATCCATTGCCTCCCAGTCATTCCCCAACAGGCCCCGGCATACAGTAGGAGCTTGGTGGAATGTTTATTAACTAATGAATGGTCAACACAGGTAAAAATACAAAATGCTATGAAGTTTAAAGGAGGAAGAGATCACATGGCTATTAACTAGCATTTATTTAACAAATGGGTGTTGGTTTTCTCACCCTAATACAATGAAGTTGTCAGTTAAAGATTAGTTTATCTTAATGTTTTCATTTGTTATTTTCTGAATGCCTATATGCAGGAAAATGCAGATGACTCTGATGGTATAAAAGTCTGTTCATTCATCTAAAAGAACTGTCATAATGGGGGTCTAGATATCTTTTGTTTAAAAAAAAAAAAATGGCTGGGTGCGGTGGCTCACTCCTGTAATCCCAGCACTTTGGGAGCCTGAGATGGGTGGATCACTTGGGTCAGGAGTTTGAGACCAGCCTGGCCAACTTGGTGAAACCTGATCTCTACTTAAAATGAAAAAATTAGCGTGGTGTGGTGGTGCGTGCCCGTAGACCCAGCTACTCGGGAGGCTGAGGCATGAGAATCGCTTGAACCTGGGTGGCAGAGGTTGCAATGAGTCATGAGATTGCAATGAGATCATGCCACTGCGCTCCAGCCTGGGTGACAGAGCAAGACTCTCATCTCAAAAAGATATATATATATATATACACACACACACATATATATATACACATATATACATATGTGTATACATACATGTGTATGTGTATATATGTGTGCATATGTGTGTATGCGTGTGTATGTATGTGTGTATATATACACACACACATATACATACACACATATATACATATACAGGTGTGAGGTGGCTCACATCTCTACCCAGTGACTGGGAAGCTGAGGTGGGAGGATGGCCTGAGGCCAGGAGTTCGATACTGGCCTGGGCAACATAGCAAGACCTATCTCTTAACTTTTTTTTTTTTTAATTTGTGATCAACTTCACTGTTCATTCATGTGGAGTGCTTCTGAAATGTTTAAGAATAGCTTGGATTTTTTGTTTTGTTTTTGAAACAGGGTTTGCTGTGTCACCCAGGTTGAAGTGCAATGGCACAATCATAGCCCACTGGAGCCTTGATCTCCTGGGTTCAAGCGATCTTCTGGCTTCAGCTGCCCAAGTAGCTGGGACTACAGGTGTGCATCATCATGCTCATCTAATTCTTTGTGGAGGTGGGGTCTCACTTTGTTCCCCAGGCTGGTCTTGAACCCCCAGGCTCAATTGATCCTCCCTCCTCAGCCTCCCAAAGTGCTGCGATTACAGGCATGAGCTTCTGCGCCCAGCCAGCTTGGTATTTTCCTCATTTCTCTGGAGATACACATTATGAAATTTTATGCATGCCACTAATTCTTTGTGATAGTCTGTATGTAAATACATTTAAAAATGTGTACTGGATTTTAAAGGATTTCTAAGCAGAAATAAACTTTAGCCTAGGCAGACAAATGGACACAAATTTCAAATCTATAATTTTGAAAATCTAGAAGGTAATTTACTTGGTCATCTTCAGGAATATATCTGGTGGTCACATGTTCACATGATAAGTCATGAATAACCAAAACTGCTCAGAAGATTTACCTTCTAATAGCAACTGTAAGAACAACACTGAAGGGGTTTTGAATAGTAGTTAACAGCAAGTATTTCATGAGTACTTGTTTTATATCAGTAAGTGAAAGGTATCTAATTCTTGCAACAATCCTGTGAGGTCGTTTTATCCCATTTCGTGGAGAGACTCTATGGCAGAGACTTAAATCCTCTAGCTATTGTCCCATTACTCACAAGTGGCAAGCTGGGAAGTGTGTCTGAATTCTAAGAATGCTATTTTCCCGCTTAAACCTATTTTAAGTGTGTCTAAACTGAAAACAACTAAAGTTTGGCCCAATTTTGAGCATTTGATGGAGTACAAGAAAAGCAATATGAACTCAACACTAGAAATGTTTTCCAAACACAGGAGTCAAAATGGAAAAGAAAACATAATTCTAGGACACTAGCCATCTCTACAGTGAATAATATTTATGGAGTTATAATATAAATGCAGTTTACAGCTGGTGCAGTGGCTCACACTTGTAATCCCACCACTTTGGGAGGCTGAGGCAGGCGGATTGCTTGAGTCCAGGAATTCCAGACCAGCTTGGATAACATGGTGAAACCCTACCTCTACTAAAAATACAAAAATTAGCTGGGCATGGTGGTGTGCACCTGTAGTCCCAGCTACTCATGAGGCTGGGGTGGGAGAATCACCCGAGCATGGGAGGTCAAGGCTGCAGTGAGCTGTGATTGCACCACTGCACCCCAGCCTGGGCAACAGAGTGAGACCCTGTCTGAAAAAATAATAGTTTACAAATTTGGTTTACAAATTTTAGAAAATACCACGGGGATAGACAAAGCACTTAATTGTTTTGTCAGGGCAAAATGTAAAACCTACCTTGACCATATAAAATTAAAGGCTCAGTTGGAAAATTAAAGGGAGAACAGAGATAGAAATATAAGGGTGTTTATGTTCACAGCCTAAAGATTGGGGAGTCAGAAATACTATAACTTGAACAAGAAGTAGAAGTTTTAAAATATTCTTAAAAGTAATAGACTCCTGGTAATTGTCATGACAGAAGGAATGGGTATTGGACTTACCTTCCTACAATAAACTATAAAACTGGAGAAAGGATATGAAGAAATTGTTTTCAGGTATTGGGCAGTAGTCAGGACAAGACTGTAATCCTTGAGGGAAAAGAAACACACAAGCTAAGCCCCACAGTCACCCTGGCTTTCTACCTGAGGGTGCATAGTGACACGGAGCCCATACAGAGTACGTCTGTGTCACTGGGTGGAGCAAACAGTTGAATTTAGGGCTGCTGAGATTGGATACAGCAGGGAGGGAGTGGTGTAGCAAAGGAGCCCCAGAAATCTGTGTACGGGTCCCCAGATGGTGGTGCTGTGGAACATTTGGAATGCTCATACATTGCTGACAGGCAGTGTAAAATGGTATAATACTTTGGGAAATGGATGGCAGTTTATGAGTTAAATACACACCTATGCTATGACCTAGCAATTCTACCTTAAAACTTAGTCAATGGATGTGAAAACATGTATCCATAAAAACACATCTATGAAAATGTTCATAGCAGATTTATTCCCCAAGCTGGAAAAGATCTCAAATGCCCATCAACAGAATAAATTGTGATATATTCATACAATGGAATGCTACTCAGCAATAAAAAAGCAACTACTGATACATGCAGCAACATGTATAAGTCTCAAATATTTTGAGGGGAAAAAAGTCAAGTGCTAAAGAGTACATACTGTTTGCATCTATTTATATGAAGTTGTATAATAGATACAGCTAATCCATGGTTATAGCAAAGAGAACAGTGGTTGCCTTTGGCAAGTTGTGGGAATGGGATGAAGACTGATTTGGAAAGTGGAGAAGAAAGTTAAACTTTCTGGGGAGTGAGGCTGGGTGTGGTGGCTCACGCCTGTAATCCCAGCACTTTGGGAGGCCAAGGCAGGTGAATCACTTGAGGTCAGGAGTTCGAGACCAGCCTGGTCAACATGGTGAAATTCATTTCTGCTAAAAATACAAAAATTAGCTGGGCATGGTGGTGCGTGCCTGTAGTCCCAGAAACTTAAGAGGCTGAGATGGGAGAATTGCTTGAACTCAGGAGGCGGAGGTTCCAGTGAGCCAAGATTATGCCACTGCATTCCAGCCTAGGCAACAGAGTGAGACTTCATCTCAAAAACAAAAACTTTCTGCGGTGATGGAAACGTTCCATATCTTGACAGGATTGTCAGTAACACAGAACCTATACATTTGTTAAAGCTCATTGAGTTAGTATATTTTACCACATACACAAATTCATTAAACTGTACCCTTAAAATCTTTGCCAAAAAAATGTAAAGATCAAGGTAACTTGATCTCAAATTTCAAAATCAAGATAACTAATGAAGAATTAAAAATAATAGGCCAGGTGCGGTGGTTCACACATGTAATCCCAGCACTTTGGGACGCCGAGGTGGGCGGATCACCTGAGGTCAGGAATTCAAGACCAGCCTGGCTAACATGGTGAAACCCCGTCTCTACTAAAAATAAAATTAGCTAGGCCTGGTGGCTGGCGCCTGTAATCCCACTACTGGGGAGGCTGAAGCAGGAGAATTGTTTGAACCTGGGAGGCAGAGGTTGCAGTGAGCTGAGATTGCAACGCTGCACTCCAGCCTGGGTGACAGTGTGAGACTCCATCTCAAAATAAGTAATTTAAATAGGGGTTGACCCCTATCTCTACAGAAAATTTTAAAATTAGCCAAGCATGGTGATGCATGCCTGTAGTCCTAGCTACATGGGAGGCTGAGGCGGGAGGATTGCTTGAGCAGGTTGAGGCTGTAGTAAACCATGATTGTGCCACCGCACTCGAGCTTGGGTAACAGTGAGACCCTGTCTCAAAAATAGTAATAATACGGACTGATTTAAGCGATTTGAATTCTTATGTTTCATAGGGAGTCAATACATTCAAAGCTGATGAATCATGAAATAATGATGTAAGCATATGATTTCAGTTTAAGGAGTTAATTACCAAAAGAACAAAAAAGAACTGGTTAACAAGGGTTGCCACTAGAGGTGGAAGGGATAGGAGTGTGGATTGTTACTTTTCATTGTAGTTTTTTTTTAACACCATATACATGAATCATACTACATAGACTTAACACTTTTTAAGATATATTTTTCATAAAAGTGGTTGTGTGACTACACCCGGAGGACCAGCCATAGGTAATGGTCACATCATTTGTGTTCTGTGACATTTGACCATTGACTAAAGCATTTCTGACTCATATCGTTCAGATTTTGAACTCCACTTTGAAATTGACATCATTAAGTGTTGTGTAAGAGTGCTTGTCTGTAGTATTCAACCTCAGCACTTCTGAGGGATATTAAACATTTTCAGTGGTGACTGGCTTTCTACTGCAGTGGTATTCAACTGAGTTGGAGGAAATACATAGTTTAAAAAAACTGATACATACCAACAACCTAAAAGAATTCTTGGTTTCATGTCACTCTACTATATACATTGGTACATTCTCCCAAGATGTCTCTAGTACAGTACCTTACTTACAGTAGGTATTCAATAAATATTTGCTAAAGGAACAATTTTGAAAATAAACTGGTTGAAACATAATGGGGGAGGTGAAGTGGCTTTTGCAATCTGTCTTACCCTCAAATCATATCATGCATTTTAAAGTACACAATAAATAACTTGGTTATCTGTGTCACTGCAGCTATGGATAATCATTGATTGCTTGGAGACGTCAGGTGTTGTGCATGTCCTCTAAGAAGTGTATCTGGGGCTGGGTGCAGTGGCTCATGCCTGTAATCCCCGCACTTTGGGGGGCCGAGATGGGTAGATCACTTGAGGTCAGGAGTCCGAGACCAGCCTGGCCAACATGGTGAAACCCATCTCTACTAAAAATAGAAAAATTAGCCGGGCTTGGTGGCAGATGCCTGTAATCCCAGCTACTCAGGAGGCTGAGGCAGAAGAATCACTGGAATTCAGGAGGCAGAGGTTGCAGTGAGCCAAGATCACACCATTGTACTCCAGCCTGAGTAACGAGAGCAAAACCGTCTCAAACAAACAAAACTTCCTTACTACTGAACTGTTTCTCTGCTGAATCATGTATCTGGAAGACACATGCTTTTCTCAGTCCAGTAAATCTGGTTCAGTATTTTACACACTTCTTTCAGTAACACAATAACACTTTGTCATTTGGATGTAGGGAGATACCTATGTTAGTGAAATAATGTAATAGCTCACATAATTGTGCCTTTTTCCAGTCTGGTGGAAAGGACAGAGGACTAAGTCCATGGACTGGAAATTGGAAGGGAGTACTCAGAAAGTAGAGTCACCTGTGCTGCAGGGGCAAGAAGGCATCCTAGAGGAGACAGGTGAAGATGGACTTCCTGAAGGCTTCCAGCTTCTGCAGATCGATGCGGAAGGCGAGTGCCAGGAGGGAGAGATCCTGGCCACAGGCAGTACGGCATGGTGCTCGGTGAGTGCGTGAATTGCCTGGCCATAGGCCTTGAATGATGGAATGTCTCAAGACACCCCTGTTTTAAAGATGGATACTGGTAGTGAAAAGAGAGACGGAATGAGTTTTGTGTATTCTGAGTGATGAATTTTCTGCTAACTGGTTTAAAGTTTTAGTTCCATTTGAGTCATAGGAAAAGTTCAAAAGGAATTTTTGATATACCCCTGAAGGGTCAGGAAATCTAAACTCCAGGCCCTGTCACTAATGAATTTTCTGTGACCTTGACCAGGTCATGTCTCTTTTTCTGGGGCTCTGTTTTCTCTAAACACGATCCAGTCTAGGTTTGTTTTTAAGAGTAATTTCCTCTTTCTCTCCAAACTATATATATAAATAAGAAAAAAGCAAATGTTTCTAATGTTCATTTTCCTTTTTTGGTGCTTATGAAGTTCTCAAACAATTTTGTTTTCTGGATAATATAAGAAAAATGTCCAGAGAAAACAGAGACACTGGGAAAAGATAGTTGCAGCAAAGAAGAGCAAAAGAAAGCAAGAAAAAGAACGAAGAAAAGCCAATCGTGCAGAAAATCCAGGTGACAATAAATGAGACTGTTGGTATAATAATATTTATTTTTTAGCAAACGTGTCTGCATGTTCCAATGAGAGTAGGAATTTTGTATAAGTAAAAAGCATCTGGGATGTGGGACCCACTGCCCTATTTTCTTGGGAATCAAAACATCAAAGAAAGCAAAATTTGTAGCTGGGTGTGGTGGCTCACACCTGTAATCCCAGCACTTTGGGAGGCTGAGGTGGGTGGATTTGCGAGGTCAGGAGATCGAGACCGTCCTGGATAACACGGTGAAACCCCATCTCTACTAAAAATACAAAAAAAAAAAAAAAAAGCCGGGTGTGGTGGCACGCACCTGTAGTCCCAGCTATATTTGGGAGGCTGAGGCAGGAGAATCACAAACCTGGGAGATTAGAGGTTGCAGTGAGCCGAGATTGAGCCACTGCACTCCAGAGCCTGGGTGACAGAGTGAGACTCTGTCTCAAAAAAAAAAAAAAAAAAAAAACAAAAAAAAAAATTTAAGGCTGCTTTTCAAATATAAGCTATCTAACTAACGTGTTTATAAGCTCAGAATAGGAGTGATACCAGCAACAGCTAATATTTATTCAGTATTCTGTGTTAGGTTCAGTTCTAAGAATTTTACATGGATTACCTCAATAAAGAGGAGCTGTTATTATCATTCCCATTTTGTAGGTGAAGAGACTGAGGCTTAGAGAAATTAAGTAACATAATTATGCCCAAGATAATGTAGCCAATCAATGAACAAACTGAACTTGGATTTAAACCCTGCTGTGTGCTGCAGAGCCCATACTCCTCACCACTCTGTGTAAATCTTCTAATGAACGAATACCTTACATCAGTATCAAGTTTCTCTTTATATGCAAAATACCCACCTGGCTAAGATTTGTTTCTTATATAATATTCCTCTGGTTTTCCACTTTTATTTCTTTCTGATATTTCTGCTTTAGGCATTTGCCCCCAGCACAGCAAACGTTTCCTGAGAGCTCTAACCAAAGACAAACTTTTGGAAGCCAAACACTCAGGACCAAGACTATGTATCGATTTGAGTATGACCCACTACATGTCAAAGAAGGTAGAACATCCACTAAGCCTGGAATTCCTGCTCGCCATGAGGGAGGCCCAGAAGGGTACAGCTTTCCGAAGAATATGGTCAACTCCAGCTTCTGGGATTCCTTAGTAAACTAGTAAAGTGTTTGATTTTCTATACTGGGTTACTAAGTTCCAAGGTGGCTGTTGTAACGAACCTGGAAGAGAATATATATAGTTTGGTTTAGTTTGCAAATTTTTACCTTGTCTTCTGTTTTAAGCCCAACATCTTTGCCTCTCTGTTCATGATATCCTCAGTCTGGATGGAACCTTTCAGGTTCAGTTTTCCAGACACTAAACCTTTGGGAAGAGGAATATTTGCCTGGTAGCATGTTGTGGGAAGATTACCTGGTGGAAGAACTTTTTGCAATGTGTGTGTTTTTTGTTGTTGTTTTTTTGAGATGGAGTCTTGCTTTTGTCACCTAGGCTGGAGTACAATGGCAAAATCTCAGCTCACTGCAACCTCTGCTTCCTGGGTTCAAGCAATTCTTCTGCCTCAGCCTTCTGAGCAGCTGGGATTACAGGCGTCTGCCACCACGCCTGACAAATTTTTTTTTTTTTTTTTTTTTTTGGAGACAGAGTCTCACTCTGTTGCCGGGGCTGGAGTGCAGTGGTGCAATCTTGGCTCACTGCAAGCTCCACCTCCTGGGTTGACGCCATTCTTGTGCCTCAGCCTCCCACGTAGCTGGGACTACAGGCTCCTGCCACCATGCCCAGCTAAGGTTTTGTATTTTTAGTAGAGATGGGGTTTCACCATGTTAGCCAGGGTGGTCTCGATCTCCTGACCTTGTGAGCTACTGCGCCTGGCACACCCAGCTAATTTTTTTTCTATTTTTAGTAGAGACGGGATTTTGCGATGTTGGCCAGGCTGGTCTCAAACTCCTGTCCTCAGGTGATCCACCTGCCTCAGCCTCCCAAAGTGCTGCGATTACAGGCGTGAGCTACTGTGCCTGGCCTCAATGTATGTGTTTTAATTGATGCTCATTCACCTCATTGATGAAAGAGGGATTCCCACACTAGAGTTCTGGGAATGGCAGAATGCATGACACCTGACACTGGACAGATGAGATTCACAGCAGTTCATGAGTCTCATATACTTACAGCCCAGGGGAGGAAGATACTGTATACCATACAGGGCCACGTGGGGATTGTAATCAAGAACAGAATGAACAGCAAGGGGCTGTGTGAGGTGGGCTTTGTAGTATCCAGGGGTTGAGGTGCCCCCTGGTTACTATAGGAGGATGTGATTGGCTTGTTAGGAAAATTCCATGGGCTGGCAGGGAACCAAAACTCCTTAGGGATAAAGAGATTATGCCTTGGACCCTTGATGAAAAGTATTTAATTATTTATTATTAAGTTTTAAGGTACATGTGCACAACGTGCAGGTTTGTTACATAGGTATACGTGTGCCATGTTGGTGCTGCACCCATTAACTCGTCATTTAGCATTAGGTATATCTCCTAATGCTGTCCTTCCCCCCGTCCCCCGACCCCACAACAGTCCCTGGTGTGTGATGTTCCCCTTCCCGTGTCCATGTGTTCTCATTGTTCAATTCCCACCTATGAGTGAGAACATACGGTGTTTGGTTTTTTGTCCTTGTGATAGTTTGCTGAGAATGATAGTTTCCAGCTTCATCCATGTCCCTACAAAGGACATGAACTCATCATTTTTTATGGCTGCATACTATTCCATGGTATATATGTGCCACATTTTCTTAATCCAATCTATCGTTGGTTGGTTCCATGTCTTTGCTATTGTGAATAGTGCCGGAATAAACATACGTGTGCATGTGTCTTTATAGAAGCATGATTTATAATCCTTTGGGTATATACCCAGTAATGGGATGGCTGGGTCAAATGGTATTTCTGGTTCTAGATCCCTGAGGAATCGCCACACCGACTTCCACAATGGTTGAACTAGTTTCCAGTCCCACCAACAGTGTAAAAGTGTTCCTATTTCTCCACATCCTCTCCAGCACCTGTTGTTTCCTGACTTTTTAATGATTGCCATTCTAACTGGTGTGAGGTGGTATCTCATTGTGGTTTTGATTTGCATTTCTCTGATGGCTAGTGATGATGAGCATTTTTTCATGTGTTTTTTGGCTGCATAAATGTCGTCTTTTGAGAAGTGTCTGTTCATATCCTTTGCCCACTTTTTGATGGGTTTTTTTTTTTTTGTAAATTTGAGTTCATTGTAGATTCTGGATATTAGCCCTTTGTCAGATGAGTAGATTGCAAAAATTTCCTCCCATTCTGTAGGTTGCCTGTTCACTCTGATGGTGGTTTCTTTTGCTGTGCAGAAGCTCTTTAGTTGAATTAGATCCCATTTGTCAATTTTGGCTTTTGTTGCCGTTGCTTTTGGTGTTTTAGACATGAAGTCCTTGCCCATGCCTATGTCCTGAATGGTATTGCCTAGGTTTTCTTCTAGGGTTTTTATGGTTTTAGGTCTAACATTTAAGTCTTTAATCCATCTTGAATTAATTTTTGTATAAGGTGTAAGGAAGGGATCCAGTTTCAGCTTTCTACATATGGCTAGCCAGTTTTCCCAGCACCATTTATTAAATAGGGTATCCTTTCCCCATTGCTTGTTTTTCTCAGGTTTGTCAAAGATTAGATAGTTGTAGATATATGTGGCATTATTTCTGAGGGCTCTGTTCTGTTCCATTGGTCTATATCTGTTTTGGTACCAGTACCATGCTGTTTTGGTTACTGTAGCCTTGTAGTATAGTTTGAAGTCAGGTAGCATGATGCCTCCAGCTTTGTTCTTTTGGCTTAGGATTGACTTGGCAATGCAGGCTCTTCTTTGGTTCCATATGAACTTTAAAGTAGTTTTTTCCAAGTCTGTGAAGAAAGTCATTGGTAGCCTGATGGGGATGGCATTGAATCTATAAATTACCTTGGGCAGTATGGCCATTTTAATGATATTGATTTTCCTACCCATGAGCATGGAATGTTCTTCCATTTGTTTGTATCCTCTTTTATTTCATTGAGCAGTGGTTTGTAGCTCTCCTTGAAGAGGTCCTTCACATCCCTTGTAAGCTGGGTTCCTAGGTATTTTATTCTCTTTGAAGCAACTGTGAATCAGAGTTCACTCATGATTTGGCTGTTTGTCTGTTATTGGTGTATAAGAATGCTTGTGATTTTTGCACATTGATTTTGTATAAAAAGGATTTTTAAAGCTAGGAGACCTTATCTACGGGAGCAGAGTTGGGAGGGGAGCTTACTATTAGGCTATTTGAAGTATTCCCAGTTTTGACAGATGTCAAGGCAGTGCATAATACTGGGCCTTAATTTTAGGCCTTACATCACAGTATGTAAATTGTAAACTCTCTTTTTAGACATCTGTTTTATGTGCTAGTGTTTGCATATTTTTCAGATAAGTTAGGAAAACTGCAGATCTGAGGTTCCTACCTGAAACTTCTAACTCTAGTCCTCTGAAAATGTTAACCAAGAATTCCCTACTATTAGGCTGGGCACAGTGGCTCCTGCATATAATCCCAGCATCTTGGGAGGCCGAGGCAAGAGGATCACTTGAGGCCAGGAGTTCAAGACTAGCCTAGGCAATATAGGAAGACCCTGCCTCTAAAAAATTAAAAATTAGCCAGGTATGGTGGCCTGTACCTGTAGTCCCAGCTACTCAGGAGGCTGAGGTAGGAGGATCACTTGAGCCCAGGAATTTGAGGCTGTAGTGAGCTATGATTGTACCACTGCACTCCAGCCTGGGTAACACAGCCAGACCCTGTCTCCAAAAAAAAAAAAAAAAAAAAAATCCATATTGTTAAATTAAGATAGCAGATTAAATCAAACCCAGAGTCTTTTTCTCCTACCCAACAAATCAAGCCAAATTGTGAAATTGCTTTTATATAAGAGCATTGTCTGTGATTCAGGGTAAAAAGTTAAAACTTCCAACCCTATTGCATCTCCTGAAGTTAGGAAGAAGGTACCAAATTTATATGATGTTCTGTAAAAACATTTATGTATATTAATGAAACCTCTTTAATAACTTAAATAGTATTACATAAGATTTTAGATAAAAGCTAAAATAAGAATTTCATATATTAAACATTTAACAGCAGGGCCAGCAGGAGGGCGAATTCCGTTTTCCACTACCTCACTGTTTCTGGACTTGTATCATTATCTTTTGTCTGTAAGGTGTGATGCCATAAGGTATAATACACGCACACATGTACTCCTAGTACATGGGGTTTTCTGGAGTAGCGTTCAGTGAACTTATTGTAGCCATTTCTTGATAGCTAATTTAGAGTGAGTTGGCATGTTTTTGCCCTGAGTTGTTCTTATTTCTTTGAAGGAATTAAGTAGACTGGCTGGACAGATTCGAAGGTTGTATGGTTCAAACAAAAAAGCTGACAGGCCATTTTGGATCTGCCTCACTGGATTCACAACAGACAGTCCCCTTTATGAAGAGTGTGTGAGGATGAATGATGGATTTTCTAGTTACCTGGTAAGTCTCTTTTTGCATATTATTTGAATTGTCATCTGAAAAGTTATTGTGGTTAATAGTATTTTTTTTTTACTTTTTCATATATGTTACATTTTCAGTATTGAAGTCTAAAAAAATTCAGAACCTCTCATAAGTTCTTAAATTTAAAATTTTTTCTCATCCTCCTACTGCATTGGCAAAGTACTGTTACCAGTGTCTAGGACTGTATTTTGTATCCCGTATATTTATGCTAGACTGTATACTCCAGGAATATTTTTGGGAAATGCCATGACTCCTTTCTTGTTCTCATTAATGGTGAATTGGGAAACATGAGTTTTGGGGGAAGAGAAGGAATCCCTTTATGAAGTAATGCAAATTTAAGATAAGTTTTAGGGAGTACTAAGGTACTTTTCACCTCTCTCTAGGATCTCATACATTTAGTGATACATATACATGCAAGAATCCAAATGAGTTTCTCAAATGTCACTGAAAATGCCCAGTGTGTTTGCATTGTGTAGCTGAGACTGAGCAGTTGTGACCTTCCCCAGGAAGGTCCATGGAAGTGATGAATGTGAAGGGTGCATTGCGCGGGGCTGCACAGCCAGCTGTTTTGCTGTTACTGTCTTCACAGTCTCTCTTGTAGTGCAGCTAGTTCCAGTTTTCTTCTATGTAGTTGTTTTAATGATTCTTTTACATAAGCCAAACAGTCCTTTTTACAGGTCCACATAGTTCCCTTACTTTCCTGTCTTCGTGCCTTTCTTAGTCCCTCAGCTTTGAGTTCTTCTCCTTTTGTGTATGTCAATATTAATCTATTTTGAGGCTGGGCACGGTGGCTTATTCCTGTAATCCTTGCACTTTGGGAGGCCGAGGCAGGTGGATTGTTTGAGCTCAGGAGCTCGAGACTAGCCTTGGCAATATGGTGAAACCCCGTCCCTACTAAAAATACGAACATTAGCTCGGTGCAGTGGTGCGCGCCTGTAGTCCCAGCTACTCAGGAGGCTGAGGCAGGAGGATCACTTGAGCTTGAGAGGCAGAGGTTGCCGTGAGCTTAGATTATGCCACGGCACTCCAGCCTGGGTGACAGAGCCAGACCCTGTCTTTAAAAAAAAAAAAAAAAAAAAAAAAAAAAAAAAATCTCCTTTCAGAAACCCAGTTCCAGCATTTCCTTCCCCAGGTCATCCCAATGTTACTCCCTCATCTGTAGTCCTGGAGCATGCTCCCCGTACCTCTGTCAGAACCCCATATCGCTGTCTCATTTCATAGGTTTGAACGTCTGTGTCTACTTTCCCTCCTAACTAGGTACTTTCTGAGAAGCTGTCAAGCTGTCACATGTGCAGTTCCTTGATAAACCTAGAGCCATGCCTGATAGAAACTTGAAGCCCAGTAACTAGTCGTTGAATTTTGAGCGGGGTTTTTTTTTTTTTTTTAAAGACAGGCTGAAGTGCAGTGGCATGATCTTGGCTCTCTGCAACCTCTGCCTCCTGGGCTCAAGCCATCCTGCCACCTCACTCCTAAGTATTATAGCTGGGACTACAGGCACATGCCACCATGCCTGGCTAATTTTTTTGTATTTTTAGTAGAGACTGGGTTTCACCATGTTGCCCAGTCTGGTCTCGAACTTTGGAGCTCAAGTGATCCTTCCACCTTAGCCTCCCAAAGTTCTGGGATTACAGACGTGAGCCACCCCACCCAGCCGTGAGCTGTTTTAACATCAGACTGTTTGCATTTTCCAGTTAGACATAACAGAAGAAGACTGCTTTAGTTTATTTCCCTTGGAAACCCTTGTGTACCTGACTCCTGACTCAGAACACGGTATGTAGTTGAATGCATGGATTCGTATAGCCCATTGTTCCTGTGTTTCATTATTCCCTGTGGCAGAATTTATTAAAGCCCCTCAAGAAGGACACCCCTCCCCACCCCCACAAAAAGTAATGCACATGAGCAGTGCTCCTCTTACAGGCAGGGGCCTCACTGGATGCTTCGATGTGTCTTACCATGGCTCACAGCTGCAGACTTAGGGTTTCCATCCTTATCTGGGCCTTGTGTAGTGCCTGCCAGTCTTTCCCAGTGTCCTTGGTCTGCTACCCCACTAGCCCTTCTTGGATCAATGTTAGATCTATTTTTTCCTAGAAAATCATTCATTTCACATAATTTTAAAATGTATTGGTATTCAGTTGATCATAGTATTCTCATCTAATTATTTCACATTCTTCTGCAGTTTTGTTTCCTTTCTGAATCTAATGTTGATTTGGGTCTGCTACCCTTTTTCGTGATTAGCTATGCCAACAGTTTGTCTGTTTTATTGGCCATTTTAGAAAATTAGCTTTTGGTTTTATTGAGCAAGTTTCTTTTTGTTTTCTACTGAATTTCTACTTTTATTGTTAATAATTCTTTCATTTTGCTTTCTCTGGATTTAGAAATTATAAAACAGATTTGATCTCATTGGCCTTCATTTTTTCATTAGCTCTTGAAGATGTTGATCTAAACAAAGTTTACATCCTCGGTGGGCTTGTGGATGAAAGCATTCAGAAGGTAAGTATACATTTCAGCCCCAACATCTGTTTTAAAAAGCAGTGCTTACTTTTAGAGGCATGTGCCCTGTTATAGTCTCCTCTAGAGGGTCTAAGAACTCAGAGGGAACAGGAAGAAAGAGCCATCCCCACCAGGTTGGCCCTCTGGCTGGTGAAGTTCCCTCTCTCCTCATGAGCAATGTCAGCGAAATCAAGAGTCGGGAACTGGACTGGGCACTGTTTGGTAATTACATAGCCATTGTTGAGTTTCTCTCTTCAGTTCTGCAAGGATAACTCTGATATTGACCAAGTAAGCATCAACTCAACATTCTTACTAGCTGTTCTTTGAGGGAGTAGTTTGCTCCTTCTAAGGTTGATCTCTCTGCTGAAATAGTCTTAGCCCAAAACCTCAAACTCCTAGGATTATCCAGATTTTTTTTGTTGGAGTTTTAGAGGAATAATTGGGGTGTCACTGGAATTTTGAAATGTTTGTTATATAGCTGTTTAAGATAATTGTTTATATTTACTAACATATTACATAGATAATAAGTTTAATAAAAGTTAAAGACTAACATATAAATATAAAAGAGTAGAATGAAAGTCTTTCCTACCTTTGTCTCCCAATTCCCCTCCCCTGAGGCAACCGATGTCAAGTTTTCTTGTGTATCCTTCTTTGAGACATTATATGATCACAAAGTATGTGTTTGTGGGTATATTTTACATATAGGTAGAGGTAGATGTGTTCTATCTATGTTCCTGTATGTATGAGATGTATGTATATTTAACACAGATGATAGGTTAATTTAATTGAATTTATTTAAAAAATATTAGTGTTCCATGACTCCATAGTGATCATCTAAAATACGAGCAGGGGCTACTTACAGAAGAATGCAGCTAATAAGGAATGCATAATAGAATTAGAAAATCATCATTTTGTCACTCCTAATACAATTGTTGACTCAGTTGAAAGAAAGGTTGTGGAGGAACCGGCTATTTACATGGTCTCAAAGTATCACCCTACAGATAACAAAGGCAAAGATTTAACATTACAGTAAAGCATTCTGGTGGTCACCATCTTATCCAAACTTGATCAAACTTAGTATCACCCATACAGGTACAATCTCTGCCTCCTGAGGTGTAGTATTCTTGACAGAAAATGTTTTTTTTTTTTCTTTTGAAGCAGGGCCTTGCTCTGTTGCTGCAACCTCGATCTCCTGGGCTCAAGCAATCCTCCCACCACCTCAGCCTTCTGAGTAGCTAGGACTACAGGCCCATGCCACCACACCTAGCTAGTTTTTAATTTAATTTTTTTGAGACATGGTCTCACTCTGTTGCCCAGGCTGGAGTGCAGTGGTGCGATCATGGCTCACTGCAGCCGCAATCTCATGGGCTCATTTGAACCGCCCGCCTCAGCCTCCTGGGTAGCTGAGACTACAAGTGTGTGCCACCATGCACAGCTAATTTTTATATTTTTTTGTAGAGACAGGTTCTCACCATGTTTTCCAGGCTGGTCTTGAACTCCTGGACTCAAGCAATCTACTCACCTCAGCCTCCCAAAGTGCTGGGATTACAGGCATTGAGTCACTGTGCCTGGCCTAGTTCTTAAATTTTTTTTTTAGAGACAGGGTCTCACTTTGTTGCCCAGACTAGTCTCAAACTTCTGGACTCGAGCAATCCTCCTGCCTCAGCCTCCCAAATTGCTGGGATTACGGGTGTGAGCCACCGTGCCCAGCCTCGTGTTTAAAATTTTTTGTAGAGACAGGGTCTCACTGTGTCCAGCCTTGAATTCTTGGACTCAAGCAATCCTCCTACCTCAGCATCCCAGAGTGCTGGGATTATAGGCATGAGTCCTCATCTGGCCCAGAAAATGTTTAAGCTGAATTTAATTGTGAGGAAACAGACAAATCAGAATGTGGGACATTCTGCAAAACAACTGGACTGGACTTAACCGAGGCAGGAGGCTGTTACAGATTAAAAGAGGTTCGTCCAGGCACAGTGGCTCATGTCTGTAATCCCAGCACTTAGGGAGGCCCAAGGCAGGAGGATCACTTGAGGCCAGGAGTTTGAGACCAGCCTGGGCAACACATTGAGAACCTATCTCTACAAAACAATTTGGAAAAGAAGAAAAGGTTAAAAAACCGTAATAGCCAAATGCAGTATGTGAGCCTTGTTTGAATTCTGTATTGAGAGGAAAGCTTTATAAAAAACAGTTTGGGGAAAGTTTAGGAAATTTTAATGTAGATTGTGTATTAAGTGAAATTACAGATTTAAAAGTTTTCTTTGAAGTGAAAATGGTATTGTGGTAAGGTAGAATGTCATTGTTCTTAGATGCATGCTTAAGTATTTAGTGAAGAAGTATTGTGATGTCTGTAGCTTACTTTGAAATGGTTTGGCAAATTATTTTTTATTGAGACAAGGTCTTGTTCTGTCATCCAGGCTGAGTGAGGTGGTGCGATCATAGCTCGCTGCAACCTTGAACTTCTGGTCTCAAGCAATCCTTGCGCCTCAGCCTCCTGAGTACGTAGGACTATAGGCACATGCTACCATGGCCAGCTAATTTTTTTTTTTTTTTTCTGTATTTTTGTTAGAGACGAAGTCTCTTGATGTTGCTCAGGCTGGTCTTGAACTCCAGGCCTCAAGCAATCCTTCTGCCTCAGCCTCCCAAAACACTGGGATTACAGGCATGAACCACCCTGTCCAGCCCAAAATATGTATTTATATACAGAGAGAAAAAGCAACATATTAACAACTGGTGAGTCTAGATTACAGGAATGAATATTGATTGTATTATTTTGAACTTTTCTTAGGTTTGAAATACTTCAAAGTAAAAAGTTAGGGTCGGGCGTGGTGGCTCACGCCTATAATCCCAGCCCTTTGGGAGGCCAAGTCAGGCAAATCACAAGGTCAAGAGATCGATACCATCCTGGCCAACATGTGAAAACCCTGTCTCTACTAAAAACATAAAAATTAGCTGAGTGTGGTGGCATGTGCCTGTAGTCCCAGCTACTCGGGAGGCTGAGGCAGGAGAATCTCTTGAACCAGGGAGGCGGAGGTTGCAGTGAGCCGAAATCACACCACTGTAGTCCAGCCTGGTGACAGAGCGAGACTCTGTTTCATACACACACAAAGTCTGGAGGGCTGGAGGACTACTTGAACCCAAGAGTTAGAGGCTGCAGAGAACTGTGGTCACACCACTGCACTTCAGCCTGGGTGATGCAACACAGTGAGACCCTGTCTCTAAAAAAAAAAAAAAAAAACAACAATAATAATAATTAAAAGTTTATTAGTCTTACCTGCAGCAGGGTGACAGCGCCCCCACCCCGTCCAAGACAGGGCCTTGCTCTGCTGCCCAGGCTGGAGGGCAGTGGCACAATCAGCTTACTCCAGGCTCAATTGATCCCCCTACCTCAGCTTCCCAAGTAGCTGGGACCACAGGTGGGCGCTACCATGCCCAGCTAATTTTTTGTTGAGTTGGGGTTTCACCGTATGGCCCATGCTGGTGTCGAACTGCTGGGCTGAAGTTACCCACCTGCCTCACCCTCCCAAAGTGCTGAGATTGCAGGCATGAGCCACGGTGCCTGGCCAACAGTCCCTTTTTTGAGGCAGTTAAGTTCAGAGGGTCAGTGAGCAGTGCATGACTTACAGATGTGCAGTTTTAACATATTATCTGTCCACCAACATTTAAACTGAAAAATAACTGGAAGATTTGTGAGATGTTTAGAACTTTTTGGTTGTTATTGGAGTTTGGCTTCTTCACAGAAATAAGCTAAGAACAACATTTCTTCAAGGAGAGTCATTTTATTATGAATCATTGTGCAAAGAACATAAACTAAATTGTAAGCTCTTCTAGGGCAACACCCAAATATCCTAATTTTGAATTCTGTACTTCAAAGTGATTATAAAGGAATAAGACTTTTTATAAAACAAACGTATCATATAGCTCATATATGCAAAGGAGTTTTATCCTTTCAAATAAGTCCCTGTATCGCTTAAAACATTTTTGGAAGTTCTATCTAAAATTTTGTTTCATGTGAGGCAGGTGTCAGCACCGAAAAGGTACTAGGTCCACTTCACACTATTCCACCTGGTTAGACCATACTCATGATGGCCAGTCAGTTATGGGACCGTAAACAAAATGATACTGGACTAGCTTAGAACAAGTTCAACTTGTCCTGAATGATGAAGGGACTTGAAATTCAAAGAAGAGTTGACAGAACTGAGGCTACAATCTGGAGACTAGAGGATTCCTAGGGGCATGATCACTGCCTTCAAGTTTCTGAATGGCCATCTTTTGGAAGGGCCATCTTACTTGCATGGTTTGGCCTTGGGGGAATAGACCTAGGATGAATGAGTGGAAGTCTCAAAGAAAACAGAATTTTGCTCAAGATCAAGAAGAATTTCCTATCAGCTGGTACTATCAAAACTGGAGTGGGTTGTCCCAGGATGCATGAACTCCCTGTCACAAGAGCTGTCCATTGAGTGGCCACATGGCCTCTTGGAGAAGTCATAGAGAACAGACAATGAATGGGTGGTTAGAGTGATACAGTTAACACTATTGAGACCCCTTCCAAGCCTTGGCATGTTAATTATCCCAGTAATCTGAACCTTTCTCTTTAATCCTGAAGTCTTAGGTAGAAAATCTTTCCTGTGCTTCTTACAAGGCAGCAAATGTAATCTGACTGAGTCATGACTCAGTCTGAGGGACTTCATGACTAAGGAACATCTTATAAAGGGACATCAGTTTCTGTACTCTGACACTAAATGGCCTCAAGTTGATGGACTTCTTGTGACTCCTTTTTGCAGTTTTCAGAGCCCGCCCTTTTATATTTTTGAGACAGGGTCTCCTCTGTCACCCAGGCTGGAGTGCAGTGGTGCAGTCACAGCTCATTGCAGCCTTGATATATGTCCCAGGCTCAAGTGATCATCCAACTTCAGCCTCCAGAGTAGCTGGGACTACAGGCACACACCAGCACACCCTGTTAATTTTTTTTTTGTTATTTGTAGAGACAGGATCTCCCTATGTTGCTCAGGCTGGTCTTGAACTCCTGGGCTCAAGCAGTCCTCTGGCCTTGGCCTCAAAGTGTTGTGTGAGGCACTTCACCTGGCCCCTTTCTTTTAATTGGGCTCTCTCTTCTCACACCCTAATGCCACTTGTTGCAGTGGTGCACCTGTCTTGAATCTTGTCTACCTTTTCCTCTAATTTGATGCTGCCTTTTGGCAATGAGCTGGAAGTTCCAGATATCCAGAATTGGGTCTTACTGAGTTAGGGCTCAGAATGTGCTCTGATTGATTAGACTGCTTGGGCCTTTTGATGCCTACTGTGGCTGCAGATGTGCCTCTTTTGCTTATTTCCCTCTTGGTTCTAAGTGGCAGTGAGTGGAGGACTGTGGATGAGTGACCCCCCAAAAAGTAAGATATTGTCACATAAGCTCTTGAGACAGTTAACTCATTATCTGCAGTTTCTTCCATTCCACAATAGGCTACTTATTTTTAATGCTGTATTACATTGAGAATATACTCATGTATAATTTTTATAAGAAAAATATTTAACTATATATTTACAGAAGGTGACATTTCAAAAGGCCCGGGAATACTCTGTCAAGACCGCACGCTTGCCAATCCAGGAATACATGGTCAGAAACCAGAATGGGAAAAACTATCATTCAGAGATACTGGCCATCAATCAAGGTACTTCTTACACGGCCCCCATCCAGGGTGTGTGAGTTCTGGTGCTGCTGCTTTGCACTGTGTTTAAGTGGCCTTTGAGTCAGTCTCCTCTGTGACTAATGTGTGTGGACTTTATTGCATGTACGTCATGACATATATTCTGGCCACTAAGAGGCATTCTGTTTTCTTCGTCACCAACTATGTTAAAGATAGTTGAAATTGTCCCCTTGGCCAGGTGCAGTGGCTCACACCTGTAATCCTGTAATCCACTTTCAGAGGCCGAGGTGGGTGGATCACCTGAGGTTAGGAGTTCGAAACCAGCCTGGCCAACATGGTGAAACCCCATCTCTACTAAAATACAAAAATCAGTCAGGCGTGGTGGTGCACGCCTGTAATACCAATTATTCCAGAGGCTGAGGCATGAGAACCACTTGAACCTGGGAAGTGGAGGTTGCAGTGAGCCGAGATCACACCACTGCACTCCAGCCTGGGTGACAGTGATACTCTGTCTCAAAAACAAAAAAAAAAGCTGGGCACGGTGGCTCACACCTGTAATCCCAGCACTTTGGGAGGCTGAGGTGGGCAGATCACCTGAGGTCGGGAGGTCGAGACCAGCCTGACCAACATGGAGAAACACCGTCTCTACTAAAAATACAAAAATTAGCAGGGCATAGTGGCAGGCGCCTGTAATCCCAGCTAATCTGGAGGCTGAGGCAAGAGAATTGCTTGAATCTGGGAGGTGCAGGTTGCGGTGAGCTGAGATCGTGCCATTGCACTCCAGCCTGAGCAACAAGAGTGCAACTCCGCCTCAAAAAAAAAAAAAAAAAAAAAAAAAAAAAAAAAAAAAATTGTCCCCTTCATCTAGAATGCCCAGCTTTTAACCTCTCACCACTGAATTCCTGTTTGATCTTCAGGGTTCAGTTCAGGAGCATCTTGGCCCTTCCCCATCCCAGGCCACAGCAGAGCCCTTCTGTTTCCCATTTTACTGTGTTCCTTTCTGTTGCACCCTATCCATTCATAGGCCTGTATCTTTCAGGGTAGGCTGAGGTCCTTGAGAGCAAGCAGAGCCTGTGTCCTTGCCTCTCCCCGCAAGACCTTAGTACCACATATGGTGCAGAATAGGTTTGTTGAACGAAATATTACAGAACATCCTTTTCATTTACTCGTTCTTTTTTTCCCTCTGTGGTCACTGTGTTTTCTGTTTACTCTCTAACAGTGTTTGATATCCTGTCCACTTACTTAGAGACTCACAACTGGCCTGAAGCATTGAAGAAAGGAGTTTCTTCAGGAAAAGGCTATATTCTTCGGAACTCAGTGGAATGATGGGCCTAAGATTGCAGCTGCGTGGCCAGGTGCTCACGCCGTAATGCCAACACTTTGGTAGACCGAAGTGGGCAGATCACCTGAGGTCAGGAGTTCACGACCAGCCTGGCCAACATGGTGAAACCCTTCTCTACTGAAAATACAAAAATTAGCCAGGTGTGGTGGCGCATACCTGTAGTCCCAGCTACTTGGGAGGCTGAGGCAGGAGAATCACTTGAACTCGGGAGGCGAAGGTTGCAGTGAGCCGAGATTTCACCAGTGCACTCCAGCCTGGGTGACAGAGCAAGACTCCATCTCAAAAAAAAAATAAATAAAAAAAAATGCAGCTGCAGGAGTGAGGCGCTTGGAGGTACCTTGACCCAAAGAGCAGGGCAGAGGGTGGCAGTGGCACATAGGCAAGTGTCTTTGCATGACATCTTCTCAGAGCTTCACAATAATGTCAGGGACCACATTTAATGCTTTTTAATCTCCCATAGTGCCTGGCTCACAGGAAGTGCTCAGATATGTTAAGTAATAAAAAGTTAATGTGGTGGGTGCAGTGGCTCACGCCTGTAATCCCAGCACTTTGGGAGGCTGAGGTGAGTGGATTACAAGGTCAGGAGTTCCAGACCAGCCTGGCTAATATGGTGAAACCTCGTCTCTACTAAAAATACAAAAATTAGCTGGGCATGGTGGTGCGTGCCTGTAGTCTCAGCTACTCAGGAGGCTGAGGCAGGAGAATCGCCTGAACCCGGGCGGCGGAGGTTGTAGTGAGCCAAGATCCAGCCTGGGCGACAGAGCCAGACTCTTGTCTCGAGGGGAAAAAAAAAAAAAATTATGTAACAAGGAATTAGCCTCAAAACCACATGGCTTTGGACGTGCTAATTCAACTTTTGTACATCTATTTGTGAGAGACCTCTTGAAATTGTTTAAATGGTTACATCAAGAGTTTAATATTCACTAAACTGGCATCATAAAATTGTATGACTTTCTCCAGCCTTGTCTGATCATGCTCGTTGTTGCCCAGCTCAGTAATAAGCTTTGCAGGATCCAGCCTGTTCTGACCTATCCCTACTGAGTCCCCATAGCATTTTGTTCCCTCCTGTGGCTCTTACCTTGTTCTCCCTTGCAGAGTATGGGCATGGAGGGCTTCTCTTCCTAATCCTTCCTAATGGTAGGATCCTAACAGGACAAATCTGTGTACCTATCTTTCTATCCTCCCTGAGCCTGTACCAACTAGATTCTTCATATGTATTTGTAACAGATTAAATTGGAAAGCAAACACAGTATTGATTAAGTCTGTCTTGAAAATAGCTAGAAAGTGTTAGACACATGAACACGTTAGATAACCTACTTATTACACAAATCTCATGTTCCTTATGTCCCAGTTGGACATATTTGCTTCAGTTACTCTGACAGTTTGGGTTAACTTGCTAGTTAAGCAGCTAGCAAATTTGGGACATGTATTCAATATCTCAAAAGAACCAACAGATTACTTCTCTGCTGTGTCCCCTCCCCTTCACAATTTAATTCCTAAGGAACTGTTCACCTAATCAGTACTTTTCTATTTAAAAACTGGCTAGACAGTTCATAATAAAAGATATGGGACCAACCTAAGTACCCATCAACCAATGAATGGATAAAGTGTGGTATATATATCCCATGGAATATTAGCCATAAAAAATGTCTTTTGCAGCAACTTGGATAGTATTGGAAGCTATTATTCTTAGTGAAGTAACTCAGGAATGGAAAACCAAATACCAAATGTTCCCACTTTAAGTGGGAGCTAAGCTACAGGTAAGCACACAGAGTGGTATAACAGATACTGGAGACCCGGAACAGGGAAGGGGGAAGGATAAACTACATACTGGGTACAATATATAGTACTCAGGTGACTGGTACACCAAAATCTCAGACTTCACCACTATACAATTCATCCGTGTAATCCAAAACCACTTGTACCCCTAAAAGCTATTGAACTAAAAACCATCCAGTCCTTAGAAAACATTAGAAACACACGAAGCTCCTTGGTCTTTATCAACAAATAGAGTTCTATAATCTCTTTGATCCAAAAAGGACTTTCTATGGATAGGCTTCAGGGGATCTGTATCTCACATATTCTCAGAGGTCTAGAAACCAAGAATCACTGATGTGGATCACCTGGCAGTCTCTTTACCTCTAAAGGTTTTGGTTAATATACTAAATAGCATAGAAGAGTTTTCTATGCTTAGCTCCTAGGAAATGATTTTAGCAAAATAAGACTTGGCCAGATTTGGATTCAGAAATCCTCATAGTGTTATTTATATAATGATAAAACTCAAAAATATCCTGTAACATGAAATATGTGACTAAAGTTGTGAAATGTATCATGCTGTTTGAAGTAGACAAAAGTATATTACAAAGTGGCATATAAGCTATAATAACTATAATTTCAATTTGATGAATATAGAGAATGTAGGCCAAGTTAAATTCTGTGCCTCAGTTTCAATTATGAGGATAAGTGTCTTCTGCAGTTAGAATAAAGGAGTTAATCCATGCAAAACACAATACTTGGTAAATGAAAAAGTATTTCGTTGTTATATACTCACCCGCTGAATAATGGGACTACAGGTGACATTTCTTTGCTGCTTTATACTTAGGTATTCCACATTTCCTCTGGTGAACCTGGCTTACTGTTATAATCACAAAATTATTTTACTGCTGACCTCCAGTTAATTATGGAAGCTGTAGCAATTACTAAGGGAGTTAACTCCAAATAAACCCTAATACTGTTTTTTAGTAAACTTTATTGTACCGAACAAAAAAAATGATTTTGCAATGATTTTCTCTCCCACAAAAGCGTGGGTGAAAACCAGTAACTTATAAAAATACTTTCGGACTCTAATAATACATACATTCACACCTTATCTTCTGAGTATTTAAATGGGGGAGGTTCACCTGAAAAAACCCATAGTTTTTTGCCTCAACTGACCTGTAAAAAAGTCCACCTATATCAACTTTCTGCCAATCTGGAGAAGATCTGTTTTCTTTGATCTGACGTCATGTGTTCACAAGCTTCTAAAATGTTTGCCAAAATTAAAGTCTGCTGGATGGTTTTTGCCTTAACCCATATTCTTCCATTCATTCCAAATACTATCTCCAGTGGATAGAGTTTTCCCACTTCCTGTATGATTTCACAATCTGGAGCTAATAGCCTGGTGGGAAGAGAAAAGAAAATGAAATTTAATGAAGTGGCAAAGGTGTGTCCGGAGTCTCCTTTAGAATGTGATTCCTTTTCTGAGCAGTTCTCCATAGCTGTTCAACAAGAACAAGGCACGTGATGACATTTGCTGCCTCCTTTCTTCCAAGAAGGAACTTTACACTGTTCAAAGGTATACTAGAAATCACAGAGGTGGGCTATGCCTTACAAAGAAATCAAACTCCCTAGGTTACCAACTTTGTAAAAGTCATTCCCCTAGATGGTCAGAGCACTTTAATTCTAGACTGGGAATCATAACTTTTTTTATCTACAGTGTTAAGACACTTTAAACTTATTTTCCTGGCCATATTATTCTCTTGTGTTAAATTCAGTACTTGGAGAGGAACATTGGCTCTTTCAAACCATAAGGGTGGTGCTTGGTTAATAACATGCTTCTTGGTTAAAAACATGCTTCTCTGATGTCCAAACTTAATTCTCCAGATCTTTAGGATATGTAGTAAGGAGAGGCATACAAGATAGCTCTCAACTTCACTGGCTCTAGGAGTAAAGCCCCTGAATATGGCACAGCTTTGGGTGGGTAAAGTTCTAAACACCAAAAAGAGAATCTGCCTCAGCATGAACCTCAGTATGCCTCAGTATGACCAAGTGTCAGAAGCCTTCTGTGAATGTCTACATAACCTTGAACATCACAATCTAAGCTGCGTGTGACCCCCATAATTAGAAAAAATTGATAATTTTATACAACTGCAGACTGCATCTGTATTCAAGTGACTCAGAACAGGGGAAAGGCCAGTTTTCACATTTGGGCTAAGTCAAATAAGCAACAGGCCTGGGAAGGAAGATATGAATACAGAGTAAGAGCTTAAGGCATGAAGTATCAGCCCACCAGAAACTACACAGCCAAACACATCTGAATTTGATATGTTTCCAAGAAGATAGGATTAAATTCATGAGTTTCCAAATGTGTTAAAATGGATACTGATTTCTAACTCTGAGGAGAAATTCAAACGTTACAAAGAATCTGAATCCTGAAGATTAACCAACTTTCCAAGAATGTATAATTATAAAAAGCAGTCAAGCCAGCAGACATCAGGACTTACTTTCTAATTAAGCCCAGAGTCACTTTAAAAAGCAGACCATCCTGTCCAATGACACCCATTCCATTGGCTCGTCCACAGCTGTCAATACAGACCATCTCTGGTTCCATGTCTTTATTAGCAACCACAAACTGGCCATAGATGAGATCTCCAACCTACAATGATATTAAAAACCAGTTCATTTCCTCTCAGCAAACTACAGGTGCTACTATTGGTTCTTTCTCACAGGCATCAATGCCAGCCACCTACAGTTCTGTGGCTAAGGGACTGACTGCACTATAGGATTCCCACAGTCACTTTGGAGTTGAGTCTTGGGGAAAAAAAGGAACACATGTATCATTCCCTTTCACCAATCAGGAAATCACAGACGAGGAGCCATCTCAAGGCCAGAGAACACTAGGATTGCACTGTCCAATATGGTAGATAGCCAATTGTTTAAACTTACATTTAAATTAAAATTAGGTATTTAAAATTAATTTCCTGAGTTGCATTAGCCACATTTCAAGTGCTCAACAGCTAGTGGCTACCATACTAATCAGTGCAGATACAAAACAGCATCACTGTAGAAAGTTATATTAGGTCGCACTACCCTAGAGAATTACAGATTTACAGAGAAAGGAAGGAACTCCGGCATGCAAATTATTCAAAGCAAAATCAAACAATAATTCACTGACACTTCTCCCTGCAGGATTTACTTAAAAACCTCATAGAGCTAAACTTCAAAGGGACGAAACTGAGGAAATGGAGAGTGAACTCATTCTGTTCACTCAACAAAACGTATTAAGTACCTACTGTTTGTTGGTGACTATGTAAACTAGAAAGGAACAAAACATTCTCTGCTTTTCAGAAGCATTTGGTCTTGGAGGGCAGTGGGGAGGTACATATAAACAAACCTCAGTCAAGGCTCAATCCAGTAAGTGCTAGAGCAAAGATACGAGAAAAGTGGCAACTAGAGATGGCTTTACAGAGGTGGTCATGTTTAGCCTACGTCTCAAAGAATGAGAATGTGTTCCATAGGGTGCGAAGGGATAGTGCAATCAAGACAGTGGGAACAGCATGTGCAAATAAGGGCAGGAAATTGAGTTTAATGGCGTTTGGTGTGATTTGAGTATGGCTGTATGAAGGATATAATTAGGGATGAGGAAAGACACCTGGAGTGTAATGCCAAGGAATTCTGTAGATTTTGGAGAATCTTGTCTTTTCGAGAAAGTGACCGTGTGAGGATGTCAGCTCTCAAAATCCTGGATGGTGAGGTAAAAGCGTGGAGGCAGGGATTAATGAAGAAGTGACTGAGACCAGTCAAGAGGGAGCTGAAGCCTGAACTTGTGGAGATAAAGGGACGGACATGCCAAAGATCAGAGACAGAATCAAATAGGATCAAAATAGGATTAAGCAACTAAATTTGCATGAGAAGTGAATGAGAAGAGGTGAAGAAATCACTAAATTTCAGGCTGGATAGACAAGAAGAGTGTGGCTATGCTACCTGAAAAGCTCAAATTGAAAACCCAAGGTAACAATATTACTCCTCTATCAGCTCCTAGGACCTACAGCCAGGATGGATGGATAGCTGATAATGTCAATTTGCACCACCTGTCCCTCCTCTAAGCCTACAGCAGACATCCTTGTCCAGAGGATATGGACATAACAAATAATGGCGATGATAGATACAACCTTTCAACTCAGTAGAAATGAAACATCCCAAGAACAAATGTAGCCAATGTAAAATAAATTGTAAATGTAAAAAATAATAATAATAATTATGTGGCTCTGATCCTGGAGCATCTGAAGAAACTCTTGGAGCCTGGGGCAATTATATACAAGCTCAGAGATCTAGGTCATGCTTTGGAGACAATTCAGATAGCCTTCTGGATATGTGAGTGTTCTAGGGAATGGATGTTTGTTTCTTTGAAACCAAAGGCTCCCGTAATTACCTGCACATTTGGTCTGTTTCTTTTAGTTGCACCTTCAAATGACAAGTAAGACAAAGAAGCTGGCTCACTCCCTCCAACATCAACTTTGAATATATCTCCAGATTTAGCTGTCACTATGCCAATCACATGGTCTCCTTTTACTGGAACATACTACAAAAAGAAACAGAATGAAAAAACAGCCATAAATGACAAGATACCATTGGAAGATACCTTCAGCAAGTCCTTTGTGGTTACTTTATTGTCATTAAAGAGAAATCTGATCAAATGCCACTTTCGGTAAAAGAAAATCACTTCATAAAGTGCCGGGTGTGCAGCTTCTGGTAGTCTGTTAATTGAGTCCAAACTCCATTATCTCTTAGGCACCCCAACCAGTAAGTCTCTAGCTTTGTGGCATAAGTCCAGTGGCAAAGGAATCCTTACAACCAAGGAAGCCCATTCCATAGACAATTTTTTCTATATGAAATTCTTACCTGTTCTAGGAGAAATTAACTCCCTATGACATCCACTCATTGAGCCTAGTCCTGCCCTCTGAGACTCCAAACGGCAGGCCTGCTGTGGGGTTTTGAAGACTATAATCATGACTCACGGTCTCCAAACGTTTTTCTCTCCTGGTCGCCCTTCTCAGGCTATGTTCCTATTGTTCACGGTCCCTCTAAAGGACATGCAGAAGTGGGCACAAGACTACGGTGGCTCTAGGTTTGCCTGAACAAAAGAGGGCCTCAGGGTCCCTCTCTTCTTTTGGGAGGTCTTCTCAAAGCAGGGCTACCACTCTCACTGCCGCACCACCCCTCCGGAGTCCCAGCTCACCCGCTTCTGCTGAGAGTCCACCCAGTAAACACCGCCGCCGCTGCCACTGCCGGGCTCCTTGTGACGGAGGCGGCCGCACTTGGTGACCAGCAGGCGGTCCCCACAGCGCCGAAGGCCCGGACCGCATACAACGCGCACCCGCGAGCACGCTCTAGCATTCAGGCTCAACGGTCGCTCCACTGCACCCCCAGGGCCTTCCGCGTCCTCCTGTTCCGGCAGGAGCAGCTCCTCACCCGGGAGCACCACCTGACCTAGTACTGTGCGTGCAGCGCGCGCCCTGCTGCCCGCGAGAGATTCAGCCGCGACAGACGCAGGTTCGGCCATCGCGGGCTCCACCAAACACCGTTTCCGGTACCCGCCTTCCGCTTCCGCTCCGCTTCCAACACCCGCCCTTGAGGACTTTCCGTTTCCGGCAGTAGCGGTCCGTTGGATTCGGACCAGTTTATGAAGCTTGATGGCCGTCAGCTCACGGGTCCCTGTCCAAGGTGGCAGTGATTGTGGCCGGCCACCTATCTGACAGCCTGGCCGCGGGTCGGTATGAAAACCGCGCAGCTTGGTCCATCGAAAAGCCTCCACTTCCAGTGTCTCGGGTCGCGTGTTTTGTGACCGGTCGCATCGTGGGGATACGAGATACTTCCACTTAAGAGTTTCTTGGGATCTCTGGAAGCTGAGCAGAGGGGCTTTGAAAATTGGACGCTGGGGCCGGGCGCGGTGGCTCACGCCTGTAATCCCAGAAGTTTGGGAGGCCGAGGCGGGTGGATCATTTGAGGTCAGGAGTTCAAGACCAGCCTGGCCACCATGGTGAAACCCTGTCTCTACTAAAAATACAAAAATTAGCCGGGCGTGGTGGCACGCACGTGTAATCCCAGCTACTCGGAAGGCTGAGACAGGAGAATCACTTGAACCTAGGAGGCGGAGGTTACAGTGAGCCTAGATGGTGCCACTGCACTCCAGTCTGGAGGACAGAGTGAGACCCTGTCAAAAAAAAAAAAAAAAGGGAAATTGGACGCTAGGTGGGTTCATGGGACCTTCTTTCCGACTCCGCCCTCAGAAGAGTGGCTGACCTTTTAACAGGAAAAGTAGTTTTTTTCAAAATAAATAAAACCTTCTTGGTTGTTAGAGATCTAGTCACATTTAGAAAACACAGAGAAAAATAAAAGAAGAAAATAAACGATGTTTTAATCTTGCCCGTTTTTCTCCCTTGCTACACTGTAGTTCTGATTCTTTAGAGCCCAAGGTGTGGCATGAAATAGGTAATACCTGATGAATGAACGAATGTATTCCTTTGGTGTGTATTTCTCCCTAGACTTTTTCCCCCTGCAAATATACATATTTCACATGCTTCCGATAGCCCTACATGGCCTGGAATATCAGTAACTCAAATTTCCCTGGAGCACACTTAGTTGCGCACGTGAGAAGCAGTTGAATTCCAAACCCAAAGAGATTCCAATCATCTATCTGACTTTGGGGGTTCTATTTTAAATCACCGTTTTCTCTGTCAACTCGAACCTTCAATTAGTGCTTGATCAGATTCTCCAGCAGTGGTAGAATTCCTAGGGTCTGGGAGGCCGTGACTGACCGATTGCCTTTAGCGGCCCTCCCTTTCTACTGCTCATCTCTTTGAGGCACCTGCTTCCAACGTAATTTTTAGATTTTTTTTTTTAGACGGAGTCTCGCTCTGTCGCCCAGGCTGGACTACAGTGGCACCATCTCGGCTCACTGCAACCTCCGCCTCCCAGGTTCAAGCAATTCTCCTGCCTCAGGCTCCCGAGTAGCTAGGATTACAGGAGTGCACCACCGCACCTGGCTAATTTTTGTATTTTTAGTAGAGACAGCGTTTCACCATGCTGGCCAGGCTGGTCTTGAACGCCTGACCTCAAGCGATAGGCCCACTTTGGCCTCCCAAAGTACTGGGATTACAGGCATGAGCCACCAAGCCCGGCCGAATTTTTAGATTTTTTAGGATGATTAAGACAGATCATCTCTAACACACCCTCCAAATTTGGCAAGCCATTTTCCCCTGGGTATAAAAAAAGGTCAACAAATAAAAGGAGCTCCCACCTCCAGGTTAGTTTCCCTGGCAAGAGTGGGAGCTCCTGTGGCAGGGACAGCGTAAATTGTGCTCTCTTCCCCACTCCAGAAGTATTCGGTGACCACGCCTGCCTCAATCTTGGCAGGCCCAAGGCCATGGCTCAAGGGCGCTCAAGGACCTCACATTCCGGCCAGGCAAACAGGCAGGTCGGTAAATGTTCTCTGGACCGTCTTTGATACACCCCATGTCGGTAGTGAAGTCTCTGGAGGAAACTCGGCCCAGATCTAGCGGCTGAGTCCTATGAGGCCCACTACCCTGTGGAGGCCGCACGTGGCGAGCGGTGTAGCTCTCTCGCGGGTCAAGGCAGATGAAACAGGGAGGCCGGGACCCGAAGGCGGTGGCTGGGCGGGGCTCCACTCCTGAACACCTACCACCCTGACACGCCCAGAGCGGGTGGGGCACGCGGGACCGCAGCCTGCCCACCAGACCGCGCGCAACCGAGGAGGTGTTTCGCCACCTGGCGGTCTTGCGCCCTGTCGAGAGTGAGCACCCGGTCCTAGGCGGCGGGAGCCCTAGGCCGCGAACGAGTGTCTCGAACCCGGCTTCAAGCCGTCGAGGGCGCGCGGGTCGGTTCTAGCGTCCCATGGGTCGCGGTTCGCGTTTTCGGGCAGCGCGTGCCTCCTCTCCTGGTTATAAAAGTGGGAAAAGTGCAACGACTGGGGAATGCAGAGGAGGCCAGAGCCCGGTGCAGGCGGCGTGCGCGCTTTGCCCTCTGCGGGTGCGTGTGTTTCCTTGCCAATCGCGAGGTGGATTACGCCCGTTCTCTTCAGAGGCTTACTGGTTTCGAGCCGAAGCAGTCGAGACTGCTCACCTTTCCAGTGCCTCTGGCCTACGTCTCCCCATTCGGAGTGTAACCAGGCCCCTTGAGATTTAAGTAGTCTGGCATTTTTAGTAACTGAAGTATTGAAAATTCCGTTTGGTGTTTTTTTTTTTTCTGTTTTGTTTTGTTTTTTGTTTTTGAGGCAAAGTCTCGCTCTGCCGCCCAGACTGGAGTGCAGTGGTACGATGTCGGCTCACTGCAACCTCCACCTCCTAAATTCAAGCGATTCTCTTGCCTCAGCCTCCCAAGTAGCTGGGATTACAGGCATGCACCACCATGACTGGCTAACTTTTGTATTTTTAGTAGAGAGGGGGTTTCGCCATGTTGGCCAGGCTGGTCTCAAACTCCTAACCTCAAATGATCCGCCTGCCTCGGCCTCCCAAAGTGCTGGGATTCCGGACGTTAGCCACCGCGCCCGGCCGTAGTGAAAATTCTGATCAGGCCCTTGCCTGCATGCACATAGTAAGCGCTCCCGTTTTGCCCAATATCTCTTGTTCCCACAATATAATTATAAACTGCTGTTGTCCTGTTTCTTTGTCTAGCAGGAGAGATAACTTCAGGGTCATGAAAATATTTTGCAGAAGGAATGAATGCCATTAAGGACTTTTTGACCAGCTGCTGACACCCATAAGTCTGGTTGCTCAAAGTTTTATCTGAGACTGTAGAGGCACAGACTTTTCCCCTCTGTTCCCGGAAACCCTCCCTCACACCCTACCCCATAAAAACGCCTGCTGTCATCTCTTTGTTAAGTAACATTTGAGAGATCTTGCTCTTCCGCCTTCTTGCTTTGGCCCAATTGAACAAACCTTTCTCTATCTCCAAGCACCTGTGTCTTAGCGTTTGGCTTCAGCTCTGCATCAGGTACATGAGACTGAATTTGGGGTTACACAACATTAGTATGACATATGGGGAAATTGCCAAATTGACCTTTGGAAAGGTTGGACCAGAGTGTAGCTTTCTGGACTCCTCCCAGAACTTCCTCTTCATAACTAATCTTTGCTAGTTTAGAAGTTAGAAACGTGGCATCTCACGGTTGCTTTTCTTTACCGACTGGTGAGGTTGGGCATTTGTTCCTTTTAACCAACACTAGTTGAGCATTTGCTTTCAGCCAGGAATTGAGCTGGGGAGGCGGCTGAGTCCTGGTCCCTGCCCTTGGGGGAGTTCACTCTCTCCACATGAAGATAGCAAGTGTTAAGGTGGATGCAACAACCTGAATAGAGTGTCAGCCCTGAGGGTACAGAGGATGAAATAGTTGTCTCTACATGGAAGGAAGGCAGGGGTTAGGATAGGTGTTACAAAGGAAGTAATAATTTGAGTGAATCTTTAATATTTTTTACTTTACTAGTTTCTAAAATTATAAATGAACTACATGCTAATTTACATACTGAAATTAACCATAAAAGCCCATGAAAGTATTGTTAACATCTTTATTCAAATACAGGATTTAATCTAAAAACATAAATGCCCACAGTTATCACTGCACAAATGACAGACTACTTGCTACAGATATTTTTACACAAGGATCATAACTTCTCAAACAGGATTTATTGTAAAAAGTAAAAGAACACTTTTTTTTTTTTTTTGAGACGGAGTCTTGGTCTGTTGCCCACGCTGGAGTGCAGTGACTTGATCTTGGCTCACTGCAACCTCCGCCTCCCAGGTTCAAGCGATTCTCCTGCCTCAGCCCCGCAAGTAGTTGGGACTACAGGCACACATCACCACTCCCGGCTAATTTTTGTATTTTTAGTAGAGACGGGGTTTCGCCACATTGGCCAGGCTGGTCTCGAACTCCTGACCTCAGGTAATCCGCCCATCTCGGCCTCCCAAAGTACTGGGATTACAGGCGTGAGCCGCCACACCTGGCCCAGAACACGCTTTTTTCTTACCAACTACTGTTTTAAATGTATTAGCAATTCCATAAAATATAGTTTCCTCACCATCATTTCCCAAATCTGAACTACATTCTGTTGGCTAGATTCTTATGTGGAATAACATTCAAGTTTGGTCTTAGTGTATCACAATACAGGATTGATTTTAAATACTCAAAATTACATGGTTTTCTGGTTTCCAACAGCTTTGCCATTTATCTGCATTTCTTGAATAAGGAAACATCTTTCTAGTTCATGTTTATTTTCATTTTGTAGTGTGTGTGTGTGCCTGTGTCATGGCACCCTTTGTTAGAGAAGAGCCCCAACCTCCTAGAGAATAGCAAGAAATAACAAGACTCCAACGGAGACGACTAAGCAAGAAAGCAGGTTCACCAGCCACAACTCCATTGGTACCAATGTAGATGAGATTTGGTGGATCAGATGAAGAAATTTATTATTCAACACAGCATACAGTAGGAGTACCAGCAAGGTAGCACTGGTTGGCCTGTCCTCAAGTCCTATGGAGTAAATGCAATGGGCCCGGACAGTGGTTGCACATGCAGTGGTTTGCACCATGACTGAGGGATCCAGGGCTAAGGGCCTAGCATCTTTTGTAGCAAGTGGCAAACCAACCAGCCTCCTTCCCTGAGGGAGTGAGCTGTTGTATGGTAGTTATGCTGTGGTCATCTTAACCTAGTTAAATGCCGATGTGACTAGCTAGAAATGGTTCAGTATTAGGGGAAAGTTAGGCCTTGTGTTTGGCATACTTCGCAAGCACATGCAGAGATGCTCAAGGCCACAGCAAACTGCCTGTCCCAATAGAAGTCAAGGCCTGTCATCATCTGACTCTACCTTATCTCTGCAGTGTCATCTCATGCAATTTTTTTTAGTGATCTAAGTTTTTTATCATTCTGGACTATTCACCAAGGCCACTTTAGCTGTTGTATTCTTCTAGCTACTGATTCTCTCCTCTTATCTCCTGCCACACAGCAAGATTCCTGAACACAGACAATAACTGCTCAATAAATGTAAGGATGAAAGGGCCTGAAATTGTGACAACTACATAAGAAAACTGTGTGTCATGATGCTATTAAGGGACTGTATTCATTGAATTCCTTCTATATACAAGGTCCAGGCATAGATGGATCCATGGAAAAGCTTAAGATATCTTCATCAGTCAAGGTCTAATCAGAAGACAAACCATGCTCATTTGAATAAAGACAGTTTAATATATGAGGAATTATTAGCTATAACAGGGTATTAGAATAATGAAGCACTGGCTAATAAGAACTAGAGAGCTTTAAAGAGTATAGCAATAGCAGATATAAGGAACAGCTGCTACTCTAATGCTGTGATAGAGTTCCCAAAGAGGAGCCTCTCGCCTCCAGCCAGGGCAGATTGAGACCCTTTTGAAGAGAGTGTGGCTGTGGCTCATTAAATGGCAAGAAGTCACTGGGAATCTTCCAGTGGAACTTCCTATAAATCCACCCTCTAGAATTTTCTGGCACTTTTACGTTGCTGAGGAAACGTATTCATGGGGAGGGGTCTCCTGGAAGCCTCTGCTATAAAACTGCCCAATAGGGTGCTAAGGAACACTGCTGGCTGCTGAGTGTTTCTGGCCACCAATCAAAGCAGGAACAGATGCTGGAGAAGCTGCTGTGCTGCAGAAGTGTGCCAGTGAGCACAACTGGACCAGGAAGCAAAACCCATTCCTCCTGAAACGCCTCTTCAGGGCCTTCTACCTATAAAGCATATCATCACGAAAGAGAACAAAGGAAAAAAAATTTAAGGCTCAGATCCATTTTCTCAGAGCAGTCAGTGAAGGATGAATTTGGACCTGAGAGACAATACATTGATAACTGGCACAAGGTCTCATGAGGTGGTGTATTAGTCCATTTTCATGCTGTTGATAAAGACATACCCAAGACTGGGAAGAAAAAGAGGTTTAATGGACTTACAGTTCCACATGGCAGGGGAGGCCTCACAATCATGGCGGAAGGCAAGGAGGAGCAAGTCATGGATGGTAGCAGGCAAATAGAGAGCTTGTGCAGGGAAACTCCCATTTTTAAAACCATCCAATCTTGTGAGACTTATTCACTATTCTGAGAACAGCACAGGAAAGATCTACCCCATAATTCAATCACCTCCCACCAGGTTCCTCCCATGACACATGGGAATTGTGGGAGTTACAATTCAAGATGAGATTTGTGTGGGGACACAGCCAAACCATATCAGGTGGTAATATCAAACTCATCAGTAATAGCAATAAGGTAGAGTCTGCCCATTCCCAGATGGCTTCACTGGTGAACTATACCAAACATTTAAATAAGAATCAATACCAGTTATCACAAACTCTTACAAAAAACAGAAGAGGAGGGAACACATCCCAATTCATTTGATGAGGCTAGTATTACCCTGATATCAAAACTAAAGACATCACAGGAAAAGGAAACTATCCTTTTCCTTTATGAATCAATATCCTTTATGAATACAGACACAGAAATCTTCAACAAAACACTAGCAAACTGAATCCAGCAACATATAGAAAGGACTGTATACTGTGACCAAGTGGAATTAATCCCAAGTATGCAAGGTCTTTTAACATCTGAAATCAATTAATGTATTATGCCATCTCAATAGATGCAGAAAAAGCGTTCGAGAATGTCTAACACCCTGTCGTGATTTAAAAACAAAAACAAAACCAAACCTCAATAAATAAGATTAGAAAAGAACCTCCTCCATTTGATAAAAGGCATCTATGAAAAACCCACAGATAACACTTAATAGTGAAAGACTGAAAGCTTTGCACTTAAGATCGGGAATAAGACAAGGAAGTCTGCTCTTGCCATTTCCATTCAACATTATACTGGGGGTTCTGTCCAGGGTAATTTGGTAAGTAAAAGCAATAAAAGATATCTAGATAGGAAAGGAAAAATTAAAACCATCTATATTTGCACGTGATGTGATCTGGTATATAGAAAATCCTAAGGCACCCACCCACCCACACAAACACACACACACACACAAAACCATTAGAACTAACACTAACAAGTTCAGCAAGTTTATAGGATATACAAAAATTAATTATATTTCTGTACCCTTGAAATGAACAACCCAAAAATAAAACTTCAAAAATAATTCCACTATATAGCATCAAAGAAAAGAAAATATTTGGGAATTAATTCAACAAAAGAAATGTCAAACTTTTTTTTTTTTTTTTTAATTTGTAGAGATGGGAGTCTCACTATGTTGCTCAGCCTGATTTTGAACTTCTGGGCTCAAGCAATCCTCACATTCAGCCTCCCAAAGTGTTGGGATTGCAGGCATGAGCCATTGTGCCCGGTCAGAAATGTCAAACTTAAACTCTGAAAACTACAAAATATTATTAAAGGAAATTAACAAAGATCTAAATAATTGAAAAGGCACCCCATCCCATTTTCATGGTTCAGATGATTTAATATTATTAATAGGAGGTCATGGGAGGATGACTGCTTGAGCCCAGGAGTTCCTGACCACCCTAGGCAACAAAGTGAGACCATATCTCCACAAATAACAATAATTTAAAAAAAAATTGCTAAGATAACACTATTCCCAAAATTGAAATACAGATTCAATCCAATTTTTCTCAAAATCCCAACTGCCTTCATTGCAAAAAATGACAAATTGCTCCTAAAGTTTGTATGGAAATTCAAGAGACTCAGAATAGCCAAAATAATCTTGAAGAAGAACAAAGTTCTTCTTTTGTGAGAACAAAATAACTTATATTTCTGATTGCAAAACTTACTACAAGGCTACAGTAATCAAGACAATGTTGTATAGGTATAAGGATAGATATAGATTAATGGAATAGAATTAAGATACAGAAATAAAACTTCATCTTCAGCTAAAAGTTGAGAGATGGGAAAAAATATTTTTTTAAAACCCTTTATGCTTACAATCAGCTGATTTTTTACACAGGTGCCAAGACAATTCAATGGGGAAAGAATAATGTTTTCAATACATGGTGTAAGCACAACTGGATATACACATGCAAAAGAATGAAGTTGGATCCCTATCTTAAACTATATAAAAACATTAAATGATTGAAAGGCCTAAATCTCAGAACTAAAATTATAAAACTCTTAGAAGAAAATGCAGAGGCAAATCTTTGTGACCTTGGATTTGACAGTGGTTTCTTAGATATTATACCACCAGAAGCACATTCAGGAAAAAATTGAAAAATCTGACTTTATCAAAATTAGAACAGATAACTCACTGAATAGGAGAAAATATTTAAAAATTATATGTCTGATAAGGGACATGTATCTAGAATATATAAAGAACTTTACTACTCAATAATAAAAAGATAGATGACCCAATTTAAAGGTGGGCCAAGGATCCAAACAGACATTTATTCAAAGAAGATATATGAACAACCAAGAAGCATATGAAAAGATACTCAGTATCATTAGTCATCTGGGAAATTCAAATTAAATCACAATGAGATATCACTTCACCTCCACTAGGATGGCTACAATCAAAAAGACATTATAACCAGTGTTGTGGATATAGAAATTTCAGAACACTCATCTTGCTGGTAGAATTATAAAATGGTACAGCCACTTTGAAAACTGAAAAACAGTTTTGCAGCTTCTTAAAAAGTTAAACATAAAGTTACCATATAACATAGCTATTCCAGCCAGGGGTGTGGTGGCTTATGCCTGTAATCCCAGCACTGTAGAAGCCTGGGCAGGATGATCACTTGAGCCCAAGAGTTTGAGATCAGCCTGAGTAACAGAGACCCCATCTCTGAAAAGAGAAGGGACGGGAGGGGAAGGGAGGGGAAGAGAGGGGAATGGAAGGGGGGGAGGGAGGAGGAAAGAGAGGGGAGGGGAGGGAAGGGAAGGGAGAAAGAAAGAAAGGCAGGCAGACAATTCTACTTCTAGGATATACCCAAGAAAATTGAAAGCTTATGTTTACACAAAAACTTAGACATGAATGTTCATAGCATAATGATTAATAATAGCCAAAAGTATAAGTAATGCAAATGTCCAGCAACTGATAAGTGAATAAACAAAGCATGGTATATCATACAATAGAATATTATTTAAACCTAAAAGGGACTAAATGTGCTACAATGTAAAATTAATCTAGAAAATATTACGCTAAGTAAAAGGCCACATATTGTATTATTCCATTTACATGAAATGCCTTCAAACCATGGAGATAGAAAGTTGATATTTAGTTGCCAGAGGCTGGAGAGACGGGTCAGTGAGAGTCATTGTTTCACGGGTACAGAGTTTCAGTCTGGGAAGATGAAAAAGTTCTGGATATGGATGGTGGTGATGGATGCACAACAATGTGAATGTACCTAATATCACTGAACTGTATATCTAAAAATGATTAAAATGGTCAATTTTATGTTTATATATATTTTACCACAATAAAGAATTATTTTCACAGAAAAAGGAGAGAGAGAGAGAGATGAATTGAATGTGGCAAAATCCTAATAATGGAATCTAGATGATGGGCATATAGTTATTTTTTTAAATACTCTTCTCTCTAATTTTGTTTGAAAATTTTTCATAACTAAAAACATAATATGGAGACAGGCAAAATAGGTGTCTTCTTGATGACAATTCAGCCTGATGGGGCAAATATATGGAAAAACTTGTTGCAAAACAAATAACAAACACAGCTTTGACCATGCCTTTCTCCTGCCTGAAAGCCCTCTGAGAGCATCGTATCACCTACAGGGAAAAAAGACTCTCTGTGACCCTCTCCTCTGCTCACCTTGCCACCTCATCCTGCTTCTCCCTGACTTCCATTTCTTGAGCAACACCAAATCCCTTGTAAATTTCCCAAACATGCCCTGATCTGTGCCATTCTTCATGCCATGTATGCACCCTGCTTAACAATCCAGTCTCCCTCCCTCTGCTTAACCTCTCCTTAAAAACTGGCTTGATCACCAGCTCCTCCAGGGAGTATCTTCTGACCCTCTGCTGAACTGTCCCTCATCTGTGTTTCCATAGCTCACTGTCCATAATTTGTCATAGCATCAAACACACCAGATTCAGACTACCAAATTTGTGCAAATGCACATACACACTCAGATCCCAAGAACCTAGAAACCGGTATATCAAAGGCATAGTGTGAATTCTGTGAAGGAGTTTCTGTACCAGGGAAAGCTCCACTAACTTTTAAACTTGCTAGGTATTTCTCCAGCTTTATGAACATTTAATGTCAGATATCCCTGCAGAGACCACTTAAAAGTTTACTTTTGCTCTAGGCTGAAAACAGTATACCTGAGGAAAAACAGTAACATGACTTACACCTTAGAAAATATCCACTTTTAGTTTTCGCCTAAATAGTGCAGGTAATTTTGAGTCTACAAGGCTTCTGAAAAAGAGCAGGGGATGCCAGGTGCTTGGGAGTGGGGGTTGAAGGGTGGAAATGGGACTTCATGCCTAAGTATACGAATTTCAGTTTGAGAAGATGAAAAAATTCCTACCCATTGCACCCTCCAGTTCCCATCCGAAAAGACAACCACCTTCATCTACAGCTCTTTTCTCTGCTATTTTACCTCAATGTTTAAATATAATACACTGATATTGCTTGATTTCTTAATTTTAAGAGAATGTGTTGACTTCCTGACAAGGTAGATGTGGTTTTGGCTCTTCCTATTTCCACACTCTTCATCCCTCCCTCTCCACGCTTTGCTAACACACGGCATAGTTACAGCACAATTTCTGGTTAAATCAGAAGCCATTTTTTACAATATTACCAGTGCAAATATTGTTATCTGCCTTGACAGATTGTACATTTTATGCAATCCTTTATTTTTCATGGAGTTGGTGATTGCCTCGTTTCAGTCCATTGTTTGTTATTCTATATACTTTGTTAATTTCTTCCACTATTCTGGCATTGGAGTCTTTTGCCTCGCCTTAATAGATTGCAACATTCCATTTCCATTTTTCCTCTGGAGACTTCCCACTCTGTGCTCCTCCCACTTTGGGGGGGCTGCTCTTCAGGCCTGCTGCACAGCTGTCTTTTCTTTAATTGTGGTAAAATATGCATAACAAAATTTATCATCTTAACAATTTTTACATGTACATTCAGTACATACACAGTGTTAAGTGTATTCATACTGTTGTGCAGCCATCACCACCATCCATCTCCAGAACTCTTCTCATCTTGCAAAACTGAAATTCTGTACCCATGAAACAATACCTCCCCATCCCCACCTCACCCTAGTGCCTGGCATCCACCATTCTTCTTTCTGTCTCTGTGAATTTGACGACTCTAGGTACTGCATAGAAGTGGAAACATACAGTATATATATCCTTTCGTGACTGGCTGATTTCACTTGGCATAATATTCTCAAGGTTCATACACGTTGTAGCATGTGTCATATTTCCCTCCCTTTTTGTACACCTGTCTTTTATACCTTCCTGCACTGCTCTCCTTCTTAGATCCACTTAGATCACTTTTATTCCACTTTCTTGCTTTACCTGTCCATTTTGCTAGAGGTCCATAACCTCCGGTATCTTCTTAAATAAAGAGAATATGAGGCTGGGCACAGTGGCTCACGCCTGTAAAACAGAGTGACTCTGTCTTTTCTCAAAGATCTACTGATGGCCACACAAGGCATCTCCTTGCTGTGTTAGGTATATCATCCTATGTCCTATTTCTTGTGGCATCATTGAGCCCACAGCAGGCCTCATTTTGAACTTCCACATGTGGCATTTTTTGAAAAATCTGTAGCTGTGGCAATACTGAGCTTGCATTTCCTCGTAGTTGCCAAGTTATGGCTGCCCCCAGTAAAGGGAAATTTAGAGACAATGCTTGCAAAGCTCCTACCAATAAGCCTGGTGAAGCACTTACTCAACAAATGGAAGTTGTTCTTTTTCATGGGATTACAGTTATTCAAAGGTTCAGAATTTAAAAGTGTTCAGAAGAAAAGGGGAGCCAGACCTGATATTTGTAGATTGGCTTAGATTTGGAGGTTTTTAAAAAATACTATTGAGTTGCCATCCTTGGCAAGGAGCTTGTATGTACAGCGATAGCTATAGATCCAAGCCAATCTACAAATGTGTGTGTAGCACCTGGTTACGAGCATGGAACCTGGAGCTAGATTGCCTGGATTTGAATCCTGGCTTTACCACTCTCAGGCTGACTTTTCTTTTTTGTGTCTGTGTTTTCTCATCTCTAAAATGGGGATAATAATCGTACCAACATACCTTGAGTTTTGAGTTAATATATATGAACCAGCTTAGCATAATATTAGGCACATACTAAACATTATATGAATGTTTGCTTATTATTTTTCAATAAGCTTATATGATAGGATCACTTAACTCAGCATAATATTAGGCATATACTAAACATTATATGAACATTTGCTTTTTATTTTTCAATAAGCTTATATGATAGGATCACTTTACTCAGCATAATATTAGGCATACACTAAACATTATATGAATGTTTGCTTTTTATTTTTCAATAAGCTTATATGATAGGATCACTTTACTCCTTGAGTACATTGTTTTCTTTGGGCTACAGAAGGCTCCCTGGTTGAAAGGACACATTTGTTTTCTTGGTTGTCATTCCAATTCTTTTTTTTTTTTTTTTTTTTTTTTTTTTTTTTTGAGACGGAGTCTCGCTCTGTCGCCCAGGCCGGACTGCGGACTGCAGTGGCGCAATCTCGGCTCACTGCAAGCTCCGCTTCCCGGGTTCACGCCATTCTCCTGCCTCAGCCTCCAGAGTAGCTGGGACTACAGGCGCCCGCCACCGCGCCCGGCTAATTTTTTGTATTTTTAGTAGAGACGGGGTTTCACCTTGTTAGCCAGGATGGTCTCGATCTCCTGACCTCATGATCCACCCGCCTCGGCCTCCCAAAGTGCCAATTCTTTTTTTTAATTTTTGAGATGGGGTCTCACTCTGTTGCTCAGGCTGAAGTGCAACAGGCTGAAGTGCAGGGTGATCACAGCTCACTGTAACCTTGAACTCCTGGGCTCAAGGGATCCTCCTGGCTCAGCCTTCCGAGCAGCTAGGACTACAAGCATGCATCACCACACCGGAATGATTTTGTTATTTTTCATAGAGAGACAGAGTTTCATGATGTTGCCCAGGCTGGTCTCAAACTCCTTACCCTCAAAAGATCTTCCTGCTGCTTGAGCTTGGGAGGTTGAGGCTGCAGTGAGCCATGACTGTATTACTGTACTCCATCCTGGTCAACAGAGTGAGACCCTGAAAAAAAAAAAAAAGATCCTCCTACCTTGGCCTCCCAAAGCACTGAGATTACAGGTGTGAGCCACTGTGTCTGGCCCTTGATTCTTTTTGTCAGTGCATAAGTCCTGGTTCAGGTATTGTGAAATCAAGTGATCATCCCACAGGAAACTGAAACTGAAATTGAGCAGCCATCATTCTGGTACCTCAAGGGACTCTGCAGGAAGACCCTAGGGGGACTCTGCCAAGAACAAGTCTAACCTGTTCTGAGTCTGTCTCTTTTTATGTATCTGTATCTCCTCCTACCATCAACTTTCTTTCTCACCGTCTATCCCAAGTCTGTTCTCTCATGGCTGCTGCTTTCTCATGATTTCTCTTACTCCTTTGGTTTGCTCAGGACTCCAGCGGCCTCACTCTGCCTTATGACTTTTCAATCCCAACCATCATGGCCAACTGCCTCACTTCTGATTTCCCAATTCAAATTCCCAAGAGCATGAGTCTGTATGGGCAAAGACTTTTGGTCTGGCAGCCTCATGGACCAGTGGCTAATCTATAGCCTGGTTACTCAAATAGTTGTCCTACCCCGGCTAGTAGGCAAGGAAAGCTAAGTAACAGCTACAAAATTCGACAGCCTAGGACTTCTAGGATGGGTTCAGTAGAATATACGTGCTGGCATACACATGAAGAGTGTGAATGCCAGGCAAGTAGGCTGCTACAGTAGATTGGACCCATCCAGGGGGTCTCCAGAGAAGTAGAACCAATAGGAGATATAGATATAAGAGAACATTTAATATGGGAATTGGTTCATATCATTGTAGAGGAGTCCCATGATCTGCAGTCTGCAAGCTGGAGAACCAGGAAATCTGGTGGTGTAATTCAGTCTGAGTCTGAAGGTGTGAGAATCAGAGGAGCTAATGGTATAACTCCCGGTCCAAGACTGAAGGCCTGAAAACTGACGATGAGTCCCCAAGTCCAAAGCCCGCAGAACCGAGTTTTGATGTCTAAGGGCAGGAGATGGATGTACCAACTTAAGAGAAAGTTAAATCACCCTTCTGCCTTTTTGTTCCTTTTCAGTCTTTAATGAATAGGATGATGCCTGTCCACAATGGTGAGGGCAGATCTTCTATTGATTCAAATGCTAATCTGTCCTGGAAACACCCTCACAGGCACACACAGAAATAATGGTTTTCCAGGCTATCTGGGCATCTGTTAGCCCAGTCAAGTTGACCCAGAAAAGTAACTATCACCTATTTGCCATCTTTCATTTAAGCCCAGATACACAGACTGGCTATCTCAGCCATTCCTTGGGTAGCACATCCAAACCTGTTTCCTCTCAGTCTCTCCTTTGCCTTGTGACAAATAGGTTTTGGAAGAAGCTGCCTGTGGTCACCCTGAACTTGTTGTGCCTTTAAGAGTTGGGCATGCTGGCCAGGCGCGGTGGCTCATGCCTGTAATCCCAGCACTTCGGGAGGCCGAGGCGGGTGGATCACGAGGTTCAAGACCAGCCAGGCCAAGATGGTGAAACCCTATCTCTACTAAAAAATACAAAAAATTAGCCGGGCGTGGTGGTGGGCGCCTGTAATCCCAGCTGCTCGGGAGGCTGGGGCAGAGAATTGCTTGAACCCGGGAGACGGAGGTTGCAGTGAGCCGAGATCGCGCCACTGCACTCCAGCCTGGGCGACAGCGCGAGACTCCATCTCGGAAAAAAAAAAAAAAAAAAAGAGTGGCATGTCACCTATTGTGTGTGGCCTGCACGTAATGCACTAATTCTTAATCCCTCGCTGATCCCAGTGTAAAGTGGAGACACCAGTACATACTCAGCCTCACAGGACTGACTGGTCAGGCCACTCATCCCCAGGCACGCGGCCACCGGTCACTGACAACTACAGACCGACTCTGCCACCCAGATCAGGTGCCCAGATGCTCAGTCGCTCACACAGGTAACTACTCGCTCCCTACCTCCGTTCCCGGGACTGCGGCGCCCCAAACCCGGCGGTGTCTCAGCTTTCCCGGTCCCCGGCGGACGGTGGCCGAGGGGCGGCGCGGGTTTCCAGCCGGTGGGGTTAGGCCGCTGCACGCCGGAAGTGGCAGCTGAACAGGGGCACTGAGGTGTCGGCCGGCGGGGCAGTGGCCCGGAGCGGGGGGCGGGGGCGTTGATCATGTTTCCCTTTGGGCCCCATAGCCCTGGAGGGGACGGATCGGCCGGAGCCGGGGCTGAGGAGCCGACGCCCCACGAGGGGCAGGCAGCAGCCACCGGGCCGCCCTCGCCACTACATCCCGGGGCTGATGCGACCCATCCCCCTCCACCCGCCCGAAGCCCTCGCCGCCCCGGCGCCCCATCGCTGTCCCCGGCCCCGCGCTCCGGAGAGCTAGGGCTGCCTGGAGCTCCGGAGTCCTCAACTGCCTCCGCCCCGGGAGAGCCGTCACCTCCCTCCCCTCCGTGCCGGCGGCCCGGGCCAGACTGCAGGGCCAAGAGCCGGGGCCGACACGGCCTCGGCGCGGGCCTGGGCGGCCCTGGCGCTAGGCTGTTCGGGTGGCTGAAAGAGCGCAGCCTGGGCCGCGGGCTGTTCGTGGACCCGGCGCGGGACAATTTTCGCACCATGACTAGCCTCTACGGTTCCATCCACCCCGCGGACTCGGTGTACCTCAGCACCCGCACCCACGGCGCCGTCTTCAACCTCGAGTACTCGCCCGACGGGTAAGCGCGGCCCCTCGGAGGGCGGGCGCCCGCCTCCGCCCGGCTCTGCTGCCAGCGGACGGCCGTCCTGGGCTCGCTCCCCGCGCCCGGGCCGAGGTTAGCGAGGCCGTTTGGGGCCGCTGGCCTTCGTGCCTCCTGGCACTTTCTGAAGCGCATTCTCGCCCTTGGAATCCCCAGCCCAGCTTTTTGAGGCAGGCAGGCGGGGCCCCACTTGCTCGCCTTCAGGACTTGGGCTCTGTGAAGGAGAAATGCCCGAAGCTACACAGCGGACCTGTCAGAGCCAGCCCACAACTAGGGCTTTCTGGTACACAGTAGGTGCTCAGTAAATACATTTTGAATAAATGCCCGCTTTCTCCCCATCATCCTAGGCTCGCGTTTTCCTACCTAAACCTGTGTCGGGGTAGGAAAGCTGTAGATTCCTTGCACTCTGTACCTGAACTTGCCATGATGGGGCAAGTGCGTTCCTTTGCTCAAGGAAGATACAGTACTAAGACACTGTAGAGACGTGGCTCTCATGATTTGGGTCATTTGTGAAGTCCCCAGGCTAGACTACAGCCTTTTTCTTGGCTGATTAAATATTTATTGTATGGCTTTGCTTTAAAGGGAACTTTCCAAAATCGTATCTATTTAAAACTTTGTCTTGTCAGTACACAAGTCCGCCATCAAAAGAAAAAATGTGCACAGTTCCACCATGAGGTGACATAGTTAATGTAATTCTTACCCCACCAAGCCTCTCGGTTGCTAGTTGTTTACTCAGTTGTTCATTCATTCATTCTCTCATTCGGCGTATATTTGTTGAGCACTTGCTATGTTCCAAATGCAGGAGTAACCATGCTGAGCAAAACCAGCTAATGGCACTGTTTTCATTGAGCCTGGGACTTAATGGTTCAACTAGATAGTAGATAGCCTTACTAAATAATGCATAAAATATATTTGTTAATTGAGATAAAGTCTTGAAGGAATCTGTTATGGACACTGTGTTCACGGATTCCCTGAGGAAGTGGCACCTAAATGAAAATAAAAATGAGTACGAAATAAATTAGTCAAGATAGGGTTGGGAAAGGGATAGAAGTATTTCAGATGGAGATGATTGGTATGTCAAAGGTCGTAGAAGGGCAGCATATCATGTTACAGGAGGTGAAAAAAAATAGGTTTACAAAGCAAAAAATTTTACTGAAGAAAGACCTGAAGTTGCTAAGGAAGGAGCAAAGGAATAGAAACAGGAGTTACTGTGAGCAAGTAGACTCTATTCCATTTCAATGATGGAAGCGCTTCCTAATCACACGTGGTGCTGGGGTCTCTGGGGTCTCAACAGCAATTGGTTGGAGCATGTAGCAGTGGATGCACACCTGAATAAGGTGGAAAACTGGTGAGAGGAGAAACTATTTTGCTGAAACTTATTCATGGAACCTCGCAGCCTCCTTCCTTCAGCCAAGCCCTATTCCTAAAGTTTCCCTCAAAACACGAACAGTCTGTCCTCAAATATTCAGTTTCTCTCTTCATATCCCGGCCCCTCTCCTCCCAACCTCCTACCGATACTTTCAGGAATTCAGAAGCAGCTATTTCTACTTTTTGGATGTGGGATTTTAGGTGGGAGTATAATGAGAAGAACAGATTTTAGAGCTGTTAGAATAAGGGATATATTGCTTAGTTTTTGTTTGAATCTAGAATGTATTTTCTCATAACAGTTTTGTAAAAGGTGGTTAGGAACTCTTGCACTTAATTCCATAATTTTAAATTACACAATTAACATATATGCTCATTGTGTAAAACCTAGGCAATAAATGAGCAAAAAATACCTAAACATTGCTTATGATCCCAGAGATTAAATGGATATCTAAGGAAATTTTTAATTTGTGTATGTTTATTTTAATATAAACATGGAATCACTGTTTTGTAGCTTGCTTTTTTTCTTACAGTAAATTGTGAACTGCTTATGTTAATAAATATATTTCTACAACATTAACATTTTTCATTAGTTTAAATAAAACCTCTTTGAACAAATATTTTATATTTATATCTTTAGGATAAATCCCTAGAATGAGTTATTGTTATGAAGATTTTTATATCTATTGTTAAATTGCCCTCTGCAAAGATCATACTAATTCTCATTACTATATTCTGATTCCTACATTCTAGACACATGCCTGTCTCCTCATACCCTTGGCAACACTGCATACTGCCATTCTTTTTCATGTTTATCAGGGTGATGAGTGAAAATACTTCAGTGTTTTAATTTTTCAGTCTTCTTACTTCATCTAGTATGCCCTACATTTGTGTAGGACTTAAAGTAATTTTACAGATAGATGACATATCCGTGTTAAATGAGGTAATTTCTCATATCTTTCAGTTAAATATGAGTTAAATCAGCTTACCAGGTAGCATAACCACTGTCACCCTCAAGGACTTCTCAATACAGAGAAGGAGGGGGTGACACAGAATGTAAAAATTAAAATTATGAATTTAATAGAGACCACAATATAAGGAATTTGGCAATAAAAAAGATAAATGGGTTAGAAGGTATTTTCTAAAGAATTCAAAAAATGTTTTAAGTGATAGAAACATTGTCAAAATAAGTGTATCACCTTCTAAAATGACATTTTGAAAAAGTAAAATTGATAATGTTAATAAATTATAGTATGTCAGACCCTGTCAAACTGTCCTCCATGAGAACACATTAGGCACAGCTATAGAGATAATTCACATATTGGAAAATAGAAGCAAAGAAACTAACTAGAATACAGACCTGGAAAACACAGAGATTGAAAATATGAAAAGGAGATTTAGTAACACAGAGCATAGAGAGAAAAAGCATACCATATAGTTAGCCAGAGTTCCTAAAGAAAATAGTCCCAGTTTCTTCAGGAACTCTGGCTAACTATATGGTACGCTTATACCATATAAGCATATCATATGGTGTAAGGGGGACTATTTGAAGACATAATAGCTGAGAACTTTCCAGAATTGAAGAAAGGCACCAAGCCATGATTTAAGAAGCCCAACAAACCCAAGCAAGAATTCTTTCTAGACATATTGTAGTGAAACTGTGGGACAATAAATATAAAATCTTAAAAGACAGAGGAAAAAGGGGCCGGGTACGGTGGCTCACGCCTGTAATCCCAGCACTTTCGGAGGCTGAGGTGGGTGGATCACCTGAGGTTGGGAGTTCGAGACCAGCCTGACCAACATGGAGAAACCCTGTCTCTACTAAAAATACAAAACTAGCCGAGCGTGGTGGTGCATGCCTGTAATCCCAGCTACTCAGGAGGCTGAGGCAGGAGAATCGCTTGAACTTGGGAGGTAGAGCTTGCGGTGAGCCAAGACCGTACCACTGCACTCCAGCCTGGGCAACAAGAGCAAAACTCCATTTAAAAAAAAAAAAGTAGAGAAAAAAGGCCTCAAAGGAGCAACTATGAGAGTGATAGCCAATTAGTCTTCAACCATAATATAAATATAGAGACAGTGGTAATTATTTCAATATGCTAGGAAAAAACCCTCAGTCTAGATTTATACCCAACAAACATAGGTTCTTTGTCCTTGCCAAGAACAAAGATGAAATAAATACATATTCAGACAAGGAAAGCTGAGTAAGTTTGCCAGCAGACCTCCAATAAAGGAATTCTAAGTTCAGAGAGAAGGAAATTATTTTCAAACGGAAGGTCTGAGAAGCTAGAAGGAATGAAGAACAAAAAGTGTTAAATATGTATGTACATGTTAATCTGATAATGTCTTTTGGGATTAATAGAGATGGAACAAAAATAGAAGACAATAATAGCATATAAATTATGAAGTGAGGCCGGGTGTGGTGGTTTATGCCTGTAATCCCAGCACTTTGGGAGGCCGAGGCGGGCGGATCACTTGAGGTCAGGAGTGTGAGACCAGCCTGGCCAACCTGATGAAACCCTGTCTCTACTAAAAATACAAAAAAATTAGCCTGGTGTGGTGGCATACACCTGTAATCTCAGCTACTTGGGAGGCTGAGGCAGGAAAATCACTTGAACCTGGGAGGCAGAGGTTGCAGTGAGCGGAGATCACATCACTGCACTCCAGCCTGGGTGACAGAGTGAGACTCCATCTCAAAGTAAAATAAAAATAAATGATAAGTGACATTCTAAGTTTTTATGTATTTGGGGGGATAATAATATATGTTAACTTTGGGCTTTAATAGGTATTTAAAATTTTCAAGGAACCAAAAGACAAGAAAGATTATAATTTCCAGACTAGTACAAGAAAAAGTACAGAATGAGAAAAAAATTCCAAAAGAAGGCAAGAAAGGAAAAGAAAAAAAGACAAGATATAATAAATAAAAAGCACAAAGAATAGCTGAAAATAAATCCAAACATTACTAGTTGCAATAACTATAAGGTACTAAATATTCTAATTAAAAGACAAAGAGTAGCTTGGCGCAGTGGCTCACGCCTACAATCCCAACATTTTGGGAAGCCAAGGCAGGTGGATCACTTGAGCCCAGGAGTTTGAGACCACCCTGGGCAACATAAGGAGACCCTGTCTCTACAAAAAGTACAAAAATTAGCTGGTTGTGGTGACGTGTCCCTTTGTCCCAGCTACTCAGGTGGCTGAGGCAGGAGGACCACTTGAGCTCGGAAGGTGGAGGCTGCAGTGAACCAGGATTGTGCCACTGCACTCCAGCCTGGGCAACAGAGACCCTGTCTTGCAAAAAATAAAATAAAATTAAAAAATAAATAAAAGAACAGTACCTCTTAAAATCTTACTCTTAATGGCATTCGTAGACTACATTCAGGCCTGCTATTCAGCTGATACTGGTTCAGCTATACTAGTTGTTAAAATATTGATATGTCCATAGTGGTTGAACAGTTACTGTCCCAAGCCTGTTAAGTGTCATCTTAATGCTTCATCGCCTTCCTTGGGACTTCCTATAGTAACCAATTATATAGCAACTAAAGAGTTAAGAACTAGGACAGCAAGAGACTGTCAGCAAACATCTCACTGGAGAACTACAGGGCAGCAGCCATTCTAATTACTCCTCACCCGTGCCTGGCAACCTCCAACACACAAAAAAATCCATAGGCCCAGTGACCATCTGGCTTCCCTAAGAGTAGGGCTGCCTACCTTTCTCATATCACTCTCACATGGCCCCTTTGGGAACTACAGCCCCGGGAGATCCAGAAAGAAGAGCAGTCAAATGAGAGTAATAGTACTGTACTACCGCAGTTGCCATCAAAATATATTAATTCTCTTGGCACAGTATACATTCCCATGGCAGGATAGAATCTACAGCAGATGATCGAGGCCTGTGGGGATGGTTTATGGATGAATAACTTCTGGGATGCACATCCTTAGTTTTATCATTCTTGTTTAATTTCCCCATTATTTAGATAGGATAAGTGTGCCAACACCCAATGAATACCTGCCTACAGTAGGCATTAATGACACTCATGTTATAAATGAAAATGACTACCAAAATACATCTTTTTCTGTCTACCAGACACATTTAGTTGGGGGAATTAAGAAGCAGAAAGTTTATTAAATGAAGGTTCTGTACCTTGGTGTATGCTGTTAACTGCTGTGTTACGTTACCTCTCACCTGGACTGAGGGATTAGGTTTAATATAATTAAGTATATCAATAAATTATTTTTGTGACTTAGTTATTAATATATTTAAACAAATATTGACTATATGAAACTAACAGCAAGCATTTGAAGGGCTAAAAACATTTTAAAATATACTTACTGTTACTTCAGCAAAAGCCAAAAAGAGGATTCAGCTCCCATGAACAATTCTGTTGATGTTAAGAGTGATTTCTTTTTTTTAGGCCAGGTATGGCAGCTCATGCCTATAATCCTAGCACTTTGGGAGGCTGAAGGTGGAGGATTGCTTGAGCTCGAGTTCAAGACCAGCTGGGGCAACATAGGGAGACCTTGTCTCTACAAAAAATTTTAAAAAGTGTGATTTTTTTTAACGTATCATGACTACAAGTTATTTAATGACTATAAATTTAATGTGGACATTCTTAGAAGGGCTTTATCTAGTTTCCTATGTCAATTCATGGTTCAGACAAGGGCATCTGTGTCAAATAAAAGATTATGGCTACAATTTCCAAAAATTAATAAATGATTGAAAATTACTAGAATGATTTAATGAACAATTTGAGCTACAATGGTTATCACCTGGTGAGCATTTTTATAATCTATATAGGTTAATTTATTTAGAAAATGTTTTTAAATTTTATTTATGTTAATTTATATTACCACTGAATTTTCTTTTCTTTTCTTTTTTTTTTTTTTTTTTTTTGAGACAGAGTTTCACTCTTGTTGTCCAGGCTGGACTGCAATGGCGCGATCTTGCCTGAATGCAACCTCCAGCTCCCAGGTTCAAGCAATTCTCCTGCCTCAGCCTCCCAAGTAGCCGGGATTACAGGCATGCACCACCACGCTCGGCTAATTTTGTATTTTTAGTAGAGATGAGGTTTCACCATGTTAGTCAGGCTGGTCTTGAACTCCTGACCTCAGGTGATCCACCCACCTCAGCCTCCCAAAGAGCTGGGATTATAAGTGTGAACCACTGTGCCTGGCCTGAATTTTTAACCTCTTTGAATATCACACTTAACTGTATGTAACAGCCGCTTCATCCTTATATTTTTCAAACACACAAGGAACAGTTATAAAATTTTCACATATGAGACCACAAGTTTCAAAAGATTGGTATCATACCGAATACAGTTTCTCACCACAATGTGATCACTAGAAGTAAATAAAAAGATAACTAGCTGGCATGGTGGTTCATACCTGTGATCCCAACACTTTGGGAGGCTGAGGCAGGTGGATCACTTGAGCCTGGGAGTTCCAGACCATCCTTACAAAAAATACAAAAATTAGCCAGTTGTGGGGCTCATGCCTATAGTCCTAGCTACTCAGGAGGCTGAGGTGGGAGGATCACTTGAACCCCGGAAGCAGAGGTTGCAGTGAGCCAAAATCGCGCCACTGCACTCCAGCCTGGGCGACAGCCTGGGCGACAGAATGAGACCCTGTCTCAAGAAAAATATATATATTATATTATGTAAAAGTATATTATATATAATATAAAATATATATTTATATAATATATAAATATATAAAACATATATTTATATAATATATTATATAAATATATAATATATGTAATATATAAAATATATAATACATAATATATAATATAAAATATATTTATATAATATAATATAAAAATATAATATATTTATATAATATAATATAAAAATATATAATATAAAATATAAATATATTATATAATATAAAATATAAATATATATTTATATATTTATATTTATATATAAAATTTATATATAAAAATATATAAAAATACATACATAAAATATATATTTATATAATATATATTATATATTTTATATTTTTGGAAGTCAAGAGACAAGTATAATTAAAAAGATAACCAGAGACCTGGCACAGTGGGTCACACTTGTAATCCCAGCACTTTGGAAAACTGAGGTGGGAGGATCTGGCAGGAGTTCAAGACCAGCCTGGGCAAGGAAGAAAGACTGTCTACAAAAATTTAAAAATTAGCCTGGTGTGGTGGCATGTGCCTGTGGTCCTAGCTACCCAGGAAGGTGAGGCAGGAGGACTGCTTGAGCTTCAGAGTTTGAGGTTGCCACTGCATTCTAGCCTGGGTGACAGAATGAGACTCTGTCTCAAAGAAAAAAAAAAAAAAAGATAACTAGAAAAGTCTCATTCATTTTCAAAAAGAATTGATAAATTCATGGGTCAAAGGGGAAATTATAATGGAAATTAGAAATGTTCAGAACTAAATGATAATGAAATCATATGTCTCAAAACTTGTGGGATACAAGTAAAGCTGTACTTAGTAGGAAAATTATAGTCTTTAATAAACTGATAAGGAAAATTAATGAGCTAAGTATTCATCTCATGAAAGAGAATAGCAAAGTTATCTGCAAATAATAGGAAAATCAATCTAAAGAGAGCAGAAGGAAATATAGTAAAAAAAAAAAAAAGGTAGAAATTAGTGAAATTTTAAAAACCATCAGAAATACTGAATAGGGACAAAGTTTTGTCTTTGAAAACACTTATAAAAATGAAAAACATCCATGGTACTAAGAAAATGCACAGATAATATTCAGAATAAAAAGAGGGACATAGGTCGGCACAGTGGCTCACACCTGTAATCCTAGCACTTTGGGAGGCCGAGGCGGGTGGATCACCTGAGGTCAGGAGTTCGAGACCAGCCTGGCTAACAGGCGAAGCCCTGACTCTACTCAAAATAAAAAAATTAGCCAGGCATGGTGGTGGGCGCCTATAATCCCGGCTACTCCGGAGGCTGAGGCAGGAGAATCGCTTGAACCCGAGGGGCGGAGGTTGCAGTGAGCCAAGACTGTGCCACTTCACTCCAGCCTGGGCAAAAGAGCGAAACTCTGTCTCAAATTAAAAAAATAAAAGGGTTAGGGGGAGCGGGGCGGCCGTGCGCGGTGGCTCACGCCTGTAATCCCAGCATTTTGGGAGGCCAAGGCGGCTGGATCACCTGAGGTCAGGAGTTTGAGACCAGCCTGGCTAACATGGTGAAACCCCATCTCTACTAAAAATACAAAAAAGTAGCTGGGCATGGTGGCAAACGCCTGTAATCCCAGCCACTCAGGAGGCTGAGACAGGAGAATCACTTGAACCTGGGAGGCGGAGGTTGCAGTGAGCTGAGATTGCGCCACTGCACTCCAGCCTGGGCAACGAGAGCGAAACTCCATCTTAAAAAAAAAAAAAAGTTGGGGGGACAATTTTATATGCAAGAGGTAGATTGTTTGGACCAAACTTCCAACTGAGAATAATCAGAAAAGCTAGAGAAAATATTAAATATTTAATGTAAGATATAGAAAGCTTATGTGTGAGGGGATTAGAGCATTATCAGGGAAATGAAGAAATTGCAGGGTCAAGTTCTAAAAAATAGGAAAGCCAGTGATGTGAGCCCAGCATTTGAGCTCGCTTCTCTGAGAGACATCTGTCAATCTCAAAAGCAGCAGCAGCAATGAGGCTGAATGGTATTTCTTTCTTTCTTTCTTTCTTTTTTTTTTTGAGACAGAGTTTCATTCACTGTTGTTGCCCAGGCTGGAGCGCAATGGCGCAATCTTGGCTCATTGCAACCTCTGCCTCCCGGGTTCAAGCGATTCTCCTGCCTCAGTCTCTGGATTAGCTAGGATTATAGGCGCCTGCCACCACGCCCGGCTAATTTTTGTATTTTTAGTAGAAACGGGCTTTCTCCATGTTGGTCAGGCTGGTCTCGACCTCCTGACCTCAGGTGATCTGTCTGCCTCGGCCTCCCAAAGTGCTGGGATTACAGGCTTGAGCCACTGCGCCTGGCCTCTGAATGGTATTTCTAATGGACTCATGGGTGGGATAGATGAGATTACAAGAATTGCAATTTAGGATCCGCAATTTAGGTTTGGGATTGAAACTCCCCTCCCCTCACCCAGTATACCCTAGGACTAAAGGTGAATCCAGAATCGACAGTACTCATGGGGACTAAAGGCCAGCTTCAAATAATCTCATTCCCTACGTAGATTAAGAAGACCTCAGATTGCCGGCACCTCTACTCTAGCTTACTTGCCATAATTAAAGATGAATCTTCTATGGAAGAAGAAAATATGCAGCTGAGTGCCGTGGCTTACACCTTTAATCCAAGTTCTTTGGGAGGCTGAGGAGGGAAGATTAATTGAGGCCAGGAGTTGGAGACCAGTCTGAGCAACATAGTGAGAGATCCCATATCTGCAAAAAATCTAAAAATTAGCTGGGCAAGGTGGTGTGCGCCTGCCATACTAGCTACTCTGGAGGCTGAGGTGGGAGGATTGTTTAAGCCCAGGCGTTTGAGGTTACAGTGAGCTATAATCACATCACTACACTTCAGCCTGGGTGACCAAGCAAGACCCTGTCTCTAAAGAAATTTTTTTAAAAATATAATATATCATCCAGTGCTTTAAATTATCCCTATAATTTTTGTATACAGTGACGAGCACTAGTACAAAGAGATTCGTTGTCTGAAAAACCAAGAAAATCAGCAAACAATAGAAATAGACCCACAGGAGATCTGACATTAAAACTATTTAATATGTTCAAGGAATTATAAGATGGAGAAATTTAGCAGAGAACTAGAAGCTAAAAAAAGAAAACCCTAGAACTAAAAAGTACAGTAACTGATAAAAACTCACTGGATGATTTAACAGCAAACTGGACACAGCTGAAGGATTTGTGAGCTTGAGAATAGATGAGAAAAAAATATACAGAATAAAGTTCAGATTTACCAAAATGGGACATAGAGATTAAGATATGTCATAAGATACAGGGAAAAGATCTTATAAATATAAATGGAGTTTCAGAAAGATATTAAAGAGAATGAAGATAAATCAATATTTGAACAGATAATGGATGACAATTTTAAAAATTAACAAAAGACATTGTAGATTCAAGAAAGGCTATACATCTCAAGCAAGAGAAAGACAAAAAAAGCAGGCCAGGCATGGTGGCGCACCCCTGTAATCCCAGCACTTATGGAGGCTGAGGTAGTTGGATCTCTTGAGCTCAGGAGTTTGAGACCAGCCCGGCCAACATGGCAAAACCCTGACTCTACAAAAAAATTAGCCGGGTGTGGTGGCATGCGCCTGTGGTCCCAGCTACTCAGGAGGCTGAAGAAGGAGGATCACTTGAATCTGGGAGGTCAAGGCTGCAGTGAGCTGAGATTGCGCCACTGCATTCCAGCGCCACCACACTCCAAACCTTCTGAAACAAAACTGCTTCAAAAACAAAAAAAAAACCTTCCAACTGCTTTAAAAACAAAAACAAAAATCCCTACCAACTTCTTCAAAAACAAACAACAAAAAAAAGAAGAAAAAAAGACAGAAATATAAAGCCACACTTAGCTACAAGAGTAAAGCTGCTAAAACTAAAATAAAACATACATGCACAAAGACAAAGAAAATCTTAAAAGCAGCTAGAGGAAAGAGATAGATTACTTTCAAAGGAGGCTCAAAAAGAGAGCTAAGTTCACTGCAGAAACAATGGAAGTCAAGAGACAAAGATATTTCCAGACAAATATTGAGAGAATTTGCCACTATCAGATCTACACAGAAACAGGTAACAAAATTATTCTTTAGGAGGAAGGAAAAAGGTGGAAGATCAGAGGTACAGGAAAGAATGAAAAGAACAAAAATAAATATGCGTGTAAATCAAAATGAATGTGAACTTTTTTTTCATTTTTTTAGACAGAGTCTCTCTCTGTCATCCAAGCTGGAGTGCAGTGGCATGAACACTGCTCACTGCAGCCTTGACTTCCTGGGCTCAAGTAATCCTCTTGCCTCTGCCTTTTGTGTAGCTGGGACCACAGGCACACGCCAGCATGGCTGGCTAATTTTTTTATTTTTTGTAGAGACAAGGGTCTCAGTTTGTTGTCCAGGCTGGGAATGGTATAAAACATGAAAAATTTTAGTAGAGCATTAAATTTATATATAATTATATCTAAAAAATTAAATATTAGGATGGGATAAAGGAAGTTGAAGTGAGCTAAGGTTCTTGCATCATCCAGGAAGTAATAATTACGTACTTCACTTTAAAAAGTTGATGCATGATGTTAGCTCTTTAGGTATTCGCTAAAAGAAGAGTAAAAATATATTTAACATACTAAATAGCATATGGGGAGATATCAATAGCAAATGTATATATATTCTTAGAGATGGGATCTTGCACTGTTGCCCAGGCTGGAGTTCATTGGTGCTGTCACAGCTCACGGCAACCTCCAACTCCTGGGCTCAAGCAATCCTCCCGCCTGTCTCCTGGGCAGCTAGGACTGCAGCCATAAGCCACTATGCCTGGCCATTTTATTTTTTTATAGAGATAGGGTCTCCACATGTTGTCCAGGCTGATCTCCAACTCCTGGCCACAAGCTATCCTCCTGCCTTGGACTCCTAAAACACTAGGATTACAGGCATGGGCCAATGTGCCTGGCCAAAAAAATGTTTAAAGCAACTGAAAAGGGACATAGAACAGACAGGACAAATGGAAAGTAAATTCTCTGGTGACAGATTTCAACTCAAAGATTGCTAGTAGTTACATTAAATGTAATTTGACTGAGACAATGATTGTCAGATCAGATTTTTAAAAACTGCTTACAGAAGACATACCTGAAATGTAAGGATACACAAAGTTTTAAAGTAAAAGGATGTCAAGGCATACCACTGCTAGCATTAGCTAAATGAAAGTTGGTGTGTTATGTTAATATCAGACAACACAAAAAACAAATTCATACAATTTCCAAGCATTGAGATTAAGCAGTTTGTTTTTCAATGAAAGTTCAGGAAATAAATAACTAGAAAATCTCTTTATTTTTGGAAATGCTCTTTTAAATAACTTGTGAGTCAAAGAAGAAATCACAGTATAAATTATAAAATATTTGAAACTGAATGATGAAAACACTATCAAAATTTGTGCAATTGCAGCTGAAGCCATGTATAGAGGAAAATCTTAGATCCTTAAATGCAGATATTAGAAAAGAAGAAAGGCTGAATTGTCAATAAGCTAAGTAAGCATCCATCTCAAGAACTTTGAAACAGAACAACAAATTATACCCAAAGAAGGTAAAAAGAAGGAATAGAGATCAGAGTGCAATTGAACCACTTTGAAACTATTTGTCACTATATATATATATATATATATATATATATATATATATATATATATATTTGTTGTTGTTGTTGTTGTTGTTGTTGTTGAGATGGAGTCTCATTCTGTCACCCAGGCTGGAGTGCAATGGCACGATCTCAGGTTACTGCAACCTCTGCCTCCCGGGTTCAAGCGATTCTCCTGCCTCAGCCTCCCAAGTAGCTGGAATTACAGGCATGTGCCACCACGCCGGCTTTTTTTTTTTTTTTTTTTTTGTATTTTTAGTAGAGATGGGTTTCACCATGTTGGCCAGCCTGGTCTCAAACTCCTGACCTTGTGATCCGCCCGCCTCGGCCTCCTAAAGTGCTGGGGTTACAGGCGTGAGCCACCACGCCTGGCCTTCAATTTTTTTTTTAAGAGGCAGGGTCTTGCTGTGTTGCCAGGCTGATCTCAAATTCCTGGGCTCAAGTGATCCTCCTGCCTCAGCCACCCAAAGTGCTGGAATTATAGGTGAGAGCCACTGTGTCTGGCCTTTAAAGTTTAAAAATAGAAACAGAGGATATTGTGAACAACTTCATGCCAATAAAATTCTAAAGTTCAATGAAATAGGCTAATTCCTAGAAAAGTAGAAATTACCAAAACTGACATTAGTAAAAGATTAGAAAGTAGTATCATAACCAATAATACTGCATCAGTAGTTAGGTCTAGATGGTTTTATAGACTAGCACTACCAAATTTACAAGAAATAAATAATCCCAATTTATATAAACTATTCCAGTGTATAAAATAACAAGAGCCAGTCTTAATTCATTCCATGATGTTAGCATACACTTTATACCAAAATCTGACATGAATAGCACAAGAAAGCAAAATTACCATGCAATTTCGCTGAAGAATAAAGATAGAAAAATCATAAACAAAATATTAGCCAACTGAATCTAGCAATGAGGTAAAAATAAAAGACTGATTTGAAATTAGAAAGTAAATTAATGTAAATAACTACATTAATATATTAAAGGAAAAATATAGGAATATCTCAATAAATGCTGAAAAATCTCTTACACAGTTTGACATATATTCATGAAAAGAAAGCTTAGCAAAATTGAAACAGAACTTTCCTTAATCTAATAGTAGGAATCTGCCCAAAAAACCTACACCAAACATTGTACTTAATGATGAAATGTTGAATATATTCTTGAAGATCAGGAACAAGATGAGTGCCTGCTATTAACACTTCTATTCAACATTGTTCTGAAAGTCCTAGTCAGTATAACAACCAAAAAGAGAAGGAAACAGGTTTTTAAAAAGAAGAACAGTCTGGGCATGGTGGCTCACGCCTGTAATCCCAGCACTTTGGGAGGCCGAGGCAGGTGGATCACCTGAGGTCAGCAGTTCGAGACTAGCCTGGCCAACATGGTGAAACCCTGTCTCTACTAATAATACAAAAATTAGCTGGGCATCATGGCACACGCCTGCAGTCCCAGCTACCCAGGAGGCTGCGGCAGGAGAATCACTTGAACCCGGGAGGCGGAGGTTGCAGTGAGCTGAGATCACGCCATTGCACCCCAGCCTGGGCAACAAGCGCAAAACTCTGTCTCCAATAAAAAAAAAAAATAGGAAGAACAAAGCAATTATTTTTAGATGGTATTATTATCAACCAAAAACCCCAAATAATAGAATAGTAAGATCGATTGATAAATAATCAATATTTAAAAATCAGTTACATTTCTGTATACCAGCAATAAGCAAAGCCAAAAAAATTTTTTTTGAGACAGGGTCTTGGTCAGCTAGGCTGGAGTGCAGTGGCATGATTATAGCTCACTACAGCCTCAACCTCCCTGACTCAGCTGATCCTCCCACCTCAGCCACCCAAATAGCTGGGACTACAGGTGTGCACCATCATACCTGGCTAATTTTTAAATTTTTTGTAGAGACAAGGTCTCACTGTGTTGCACAGGCTGGTCTCAAACTCCTGAGCTCAAGTAATCTTTCCTCCTTGGTCTCCCAAAATTCTGGAATAACAAGAATAAGCCACTGTGTCCAGCATAAGCAAAAATTTTAAAAGAACATTTATTCAAATATAAAAAAAAATCAAGTGCCCAGGAATAAGTTCAACAGAAGGTAGGCATGGGCCATATGGAGGAAACTATACAATTTTGTTGAGAGAATTACAGAAGATTTAAATAAATGGAGATAGATTATGTTAATGGATTGGAAGATTCCATATTGTAAAGACAGCAGTTCCATTACAACTTTTTGGGCCACGCGCGATGGCTCACGCCTGTAATCCCAGCACTTTGGGAGGCTGAGGTGGGTGGATCACCTGAGGTAAGGAGTTAGAGACCAGCCTGGCTAACATGGTGAAACCCCGTTTCTACTAAAAATACAAAAAGTTAGCTGGGCATGGTGGCACATGCCTGTAATCCCAGCTACTTGGGAGGCTGAGGCAGGAAAATCTTTTGAACCCAGGAGGCAGAGGTTGCAGTGAGCTGAGATTGTGCCATTGCACTCCAGCTTGGGCAACAAGAGCAAAACTCTGTCTCAAAAAAAAACAACACAACCTTTTGGTATTAATAGATTTAATATAATCTCAATTAACATCTGCACCTGGGGTGTGTGTGTGTGTGTGTGTGTGTGTGTGTGTATACATAAATTGATATGTTGATTCTAATTGTATAAGGATGGTCAAAGATCCAAGATTTACTCAGATACTCTAAGAAAATCTTTAATGTGTGGGAAAATGTGCATATTACTGTATGAGGTAAATCAATATTGTATCATATAAATTCTACCTAAGTAATCTGTAAAGTCAGTGCATTTCAATAAAATTTCAACAAAATTTTTTAACAGAACCTGACATGGTATATATAAAATTTACTTGAAGAGAAAGCATAGTATTAGCCAAGAAAAAGTGTCAGTAAAGCAAATGAGGGAGTCTTGCTTTGCCACATAGCAAATATATCATAAGCCTTCTAGAAATTAAGATAGTGTGATGTTGCATAGAATACCAATATACAGTCGAAGAACAAAACTTGTATGTAGTGAAGATGGCATTATAAACCAATGTAAATAAGATCAGCCTTGATATTGGGACAAATTGTGTACCAGCAATAAACAAAGCAATATGTATCTTTTAAAAAAATATGTATATTTTAAAAGATACATATCATACCATGTACAAAAATATACTATAATTTGATTCAAACAAAGCAATAACTAACAGTTTTATAGATCCCTTTTATACAATGTTCAAGATTAAGAATCTCCCAGAGGTTGGCTTTGTGTGGTGGCTCACACCTATAATCCCAGCAATTTGGGAGGCTGAGGCAGGAGGATCACTTGAGGTTTGAGACCAGCCAGGGCAACACGGTGAAACCCTGTCTCCATTAAAAATACAAAAATTAGTGGGGTGTGGTGGCGGGTGCCTGTAATCCCAGTTACTCTGGAGGCTGAGGCAGGAGAATCACTTGAACCAGGGAGGTGGAGGTTGCAGTGAACTGAGGTCGCGCCACCACACTTCAGCCTGGGTGATAGAGCGAGACTTCGTCTCAGAAAAAAAGAATCTCCCAGAGTCTGGGACTGGTGGTTCATGCCTGTAATCCCAGAGTTTTGGGAGGCTGATGTGGGAGGATCACTTGAGGCCAGGAATTTGAGACCAGCTTGAGCAACATAGTGTGATCCCATCTCCACCAAAAAAAAAAGTCTCCCAGAATCATTGATTCACTACTTATGCACAAAAGGGAAAAAAGTTCATTTCAGGGTTCTTCTGACTTACAAAAAGAAATAGCTATTTATATGTCTTCAAAAATTACAAATATTAATTTGAATATTTTTACTCCCAATGACTAGCATAAAAAATTTCAGATATTATTAAACTTTGAAGTCCAGATGTCTTAAAAAAGGGTTTATGCAGACAAGTCCATGATTAGTAAATAAAGAAAAGATTTCAACTTTTTTTTTTTTGAGACAGAGTCTTACTCTGTCACTCATGCTGGAGTGCAGTAGCGTGATCTTGGCTCACTGCAACCTCCGCCTCCTGGGTTCAAGCGATTCTCCTGCCTCAGCCTCCCAAGTAGCTGGGACTACAGGCCCCCACCACCACACCTGGCTAACATTTTTTGAATTTTTAGTAGAGACAGGGTTTCATTATGTTGGCCAGTCTGGTCTCGAACTCCTGACCTTGTGATCCACCCACCTCGGTCTCCCAAAGTACTGGGATCACAGGCGTGGGCCACCGCACCCGGCCAAGATTTCAACTTAATGGTTGTTTTTTAATCTCCCACTTTACCTAAAAAGTTTGTTCTGAATAGAAAAGTTTTTGGCTATTTATTCTATCTTATGTACGTTCATCTTAGTTGTATAAAATACACAGGATTTCATTTGCTAGAAATGAAATGAATCTGAAAGAGCAGGGCCCACAAAAAACTTATACTTAATCAAAATAAATAAAATAAAATACAATAGATTTTCACAAATCAAAACAAGGTTTGTAAAAGGTTTATAAAAATATAACTTTGCAGTGGGGAAGGCCTGAAACAAGAGACAAACCTAAAAAACCATGAAGGAAAAGACTGATAAGTTTGACTATGTTTAACTGCTCTGATAGGTTATATGCCAGATATTTTCCAGTACATTTTATTGACAGTGATGAAGAAATATATAATTTGGTTGTATATGAATTTCCCGTAAGTTGTCTCATCAATGTACATTTTTTTGGCAACCACCTTTTTTATTTAAAAATATGTTTTGGAGTTCTTTCATATTCATATAAAGCTACCCCTTTTTAACTTCTCTACAGTATTTCAAAGTATTGTGTACTATGGCTTGTATAATCAATCACTCCCTGTGTCATGTACATTTAAGATACTTTGAATTTCTCCTTTTTACAATGAAGCATATCTTTATATGTCTCTTTGTATTTGTAAGTAATTAGTTCTCTAGATTAAATTCCCAGAAAAAATTGCTGAGTCAAAACATATGCCCATTTTAAATTCTGATACTTTAGAGGTGCTGTGCAAACATAAGCTGTACCAGATTATACTCCACGATAATGTATGAGAGTACCATTTCCTACTACTCTTGCCAACCACAGATAGTATCAATCTTTTAAACATTTGCTACTAACATGGGCAAAAAAAAAAAGTTATTTACCTATAGCTTGTGTAATTATAAATAAGTGAACATCAATAACCAGCGAATGCTAGAAAACTAAACAAGATAAATGTGTCATTTGCTTTCAGGTCAGTGCTGACAGTTGCTTGTGAACAAACTGAAGTTCTGCTTTTTGACCCTATATCTTCAAAGCACATAAAAACACTTTCTGAAGCTCATGAAGACTGTGTAAATAATATCAGGTTAGTATTATAGTGAAAAAGTGAACTTTATCAGTGTGGCCCAAAATGTTCTGTTTTGGAAGTTAGTGAAAATGAAAATGTTTAATGCCTTATCCAGCACTGCTAGATGATCCACATTGTGAATTGTGAATCTAATCCCTTATAAAACTAATCCTTTAATTACAAAACTTACTCTTAGCTATGTTGGATTGGAATGTTTCTGAAATACATTTCTAACTTCTATATAATTTTACCTTTTCATATATTAGGGTCATCATTATGAACCTCAGCCATGTATTATGCTAGTCCTGTAATGCCTTTGTGCTAATGATTTGTGTAGAATGATGGCAGTCCCATTGCTTAGCACCTCTCACTTCCACCCTACCACTCTCTGCAGAAATACAGACTGTTAAGAGGAAAAAGTACATGCACAGACAATTTCTCTGTAGCATCATTGGAAGCTCCTTAATTTTCAATAATGTGGGAAGTGAATTATAATTGAGTAGTTTGGTGATTAATATTCAGTCATTAAAATGATGGTCATAGAGACTACATAGCAACATAGACAAATGCTTCGCATAATACAGGGTAAAATTGTGATAAGAATTATACAAATAGATGATACAGAAGAAAAAGATTAAAAGGAAATATTTTAAAATTCTAACAGTAGTTAAAATGGATGGATTATAAGTAATTTTCTATTTTTTCTATGTAATGAGATTATATTACTTTTATAATTATTACTTTTAATTTTCTAAAAAAAGAAATAGGTAAATTACTAGTCAACGTAACATACTGGGTGTTTTGATGTAACTCCTATGCTCAAAACACATAGAACAATAAATTAAATAGTACAAAAAGTATAGCCAGGTTCTGAAACAACATAAACATCTTTGTGGGCCAGAAATGAAACATGGACACAAAGTTTTAAACGGGGCTGAAACCACAGACCAGCTGGCTTTCAGTCTAGCACTGACAGCTAGTAGTTTTGCTCCTGTCAGGTAAAAGGATTAAGAAGTGCTTAAGTGTTTCATGCGAGGCAGGAACCAGAGCCAGAATCACTACATGAAGTCCGGGGTTTGGTTAAAATATCTGTCTTATTTATGAAAGGCTGAAAAGAGAAAAGAGCTATTCACTACCCGAGACTATAAGTTTTAGCTGATAAAAACACAGCCTCATCAATAGCTATTGAATGAAGCCACTTGCTGAGTCAGTAACTGAATGTCTATGTATGATATTTCCAGTATCATGATTAAAATGGAGCCCCGAAATGTCATTATAAGGCCTAGTTGTGGACTGGGGGCCCAGATGGCCAAGTGGGAGCAACTCTGAAACCATTAAATAGGAGGAGAGAGAGAAATTAAAAACCTTTTCTATTCAAAAGAAACCTATAACCCAAATTCTAAAATTTATAAAGACATATAATATTAATATAACAAAATCAGCCACCAAAACATTCATTTCTCTGGATGAAATTAATTTTATGGAGCAGTTCAACAAAGACTTTATTTTAAAAAATAAATTATGTATTTATTTTTGACTAGTAATAGATGCATGTAGTACAAAATTCAAAGGTACAAAAAGGGTAAACAGTGAAAAGTAAGTCTATCTCCACCTCTTTCACCTAGCCACCCAGTTTCCCTCCCCAAAGGCAACCACTGTTACCCATTTCTTGCTATCCTTTCTAAGATAATTGTTGCATATACAAACATATATATATATATACACACACACACACTCACACATATGTACATTTTTATATAAATGGTAGCATTTACACATATTATTATTTACCTTGCCTTTTTCACTTAATAACATGTTTAGAGATCATTTGATATTAATACCCATGGGATTACCTTATTCTTTTTAATAGCTGCATGGTATTCCAATGATTGGGAGAAACTTTTAAGCCTTTAACTTTTGCTTTTAACTTTAACTTTTAAGGATGCTCAGAGAAATAAATTAAGGGATACGTTCCAATTAAAGAGAGCTTAAAAACTGAAACAAAAGAGATTGAACAAGAAGAAGTCAATGTAGTAGAGAACTAGCTAGAACTCTTAGAAATTAAAAATGTCAAGCTGCCCAGAAATAAATCCAAATACTTACAGCCAACTGATCTTGGACAAAGCAAACAAAAACATAAAGTGGGGAAAGGACACCCTTTTCAACAAATGGTGCTAGGATAATTGGCTAGCCACATGTAGGAGAATGTAACTGGATTCTCATCTCTCACTTTATACAAAAATCAGCTCAAGATGGATTAAGGACTTAAACCTAAGACCTGAAACTATAATAAAAAAAACCCTTCTAGACATTGGCTTAGGCAAGGATTTCATGACCAAAACCCCAAAAGCAATTGCAATAAAGATAAAGATAAATAGCTGGGACCTAATTAAACTAAAGAGATTTGGCATGGCGAAAGGAACAGTTGGCAGAATAAACAGACAACCCACAGAGTGGGAGAAAATCTTCGCAATCTATACATCTGACAAAGGACTAATATCCAGAATCTACAACAAACTCAAATCAGTAAAAAAAAAACAACAATCAATCCCATTAAAAAATTGGGCTAAGGAAATGAATAGATAATTCTCAGAAGAATAATTCTTCATATGACCAACAAACATATGAAAAAATGCTGAACATCACTAATGATCAGGGAAATGCAAATCAAAACCATAATGCGATACCGCCTTACTCCTGTAAGAATGGCCATAATCAAAAAATCAAAAAACAGTAGATGCTGGTGTGGATGTGGTGATCAGGAACACTTCTACACTGCTGGTGGGAATGTAAACTAGTACAGCCGCTATGGAAAACAGTGTGGAGATTCCTTAAAGAACTAAAAGTAGAACTACCATTTGATCCAGCAATTCCACTACTGGGTATCTACCCAGAGGAAAAGAAGTCATTATTTGAAAAAGATACTTGCACACGCATGTTTATAGCAGCACAATTCACAATAGCCAAATCGTGGAACCAACCCAAATGCCCATTAATCAATGAATGGATAAAGAAACTGTGATATATATATATATATATATATATATATATATATATATGATGGAATATTACTCAGCCATAAAAAGGAATGAATTAACAGCATTTGCAATGACCTGGATGAGATTGGAGACTATTATTTTAAGTGAAGTAACTCAGGAATGGAAAACCAAACATCATAGGTTCCCACTGATATGTGGGACCTAAGCTATGAGGACATAAAGGCATAAGAATGATACAATAGACTTTGGGGACTTAAGGGGAAGAGTGGGAGGTTGGGCAAAGGACAAAAGACAACAAATATGGTGCAGTGTATACTGCTTGGGTGATGGGTGCACCAGGGTCTCACAAATTCCCACTAAAGAACTTACTCATGTAACCGAATACCACCTGTATTCCAATAACTTATGGAAAAATAAAATAAAACTAAAAAAAAGTCAAGCTGGGCTTGGTGTCTTGCACCTGTAATCCCAGCAACTTGAGAGGCTGAGGCAGGAGGATCACTTGAGCCCAGGAGTTCAAGGCAGCAGTGAGCTATGATTGCACCACTGCTCTCAGCCTAGGTGACAGAGCAAGACTCTATCCTTATAAAAAGAAAGAAAAAGAAATTATGTAGTTGGTATATAAAAAACTCAATAGATGGGATAAACTTTACCTTTTACACTATTGATAAATGAATTAATGAGTTAGAATATAGCACTTAAAATTCACACAGAACACATAAAAAAGGTTAAAATATGAAAAAGTAGTTGAAAGACAGGATTAATTGAGAGATTACAGTGTATAGTTATAGAAAAATATTGGTAGAAAACTAAATTTTTGAAGATAACAATGGCTGAGAATTTTTAGCGCTGAAGGGCCTGAGACATCAAATCAAAAGTGAACTTTATAGTGTTTGCAGTTTAAATAAAGATAAATCTGCATCTAGACAGGTTGTGGTGAAACTCTAGAATACCAAAAGTCAAGAGAAAATCTTAGAAGCCACCAAAGTTAGAAGCCAGATTACCTACAGAAGTACAATAATTACAGAAACAGGTTTCTCATTAGCAATAGTTGATATCAGGAGAAAATGGAGTAATATTAATATCTTCAATATGAAGGTAAAATAATGTTCAATACCATGTTATGTCCAGGGAAACTGTTAATCCAGACTAAAGAATTGTAATTAGGTAAAATGTTAACTGTTATTAAGAGAAAAGAATTTAGGAGTTTTTTTGGCGGGGGGTACATGTAAAACAAAATAAAAACTAAAACTCTAAATTAGCACTATCCAATAAAAATGTAATGCTAATCACATATGTAATTTTTAATTTTATAGTAGTCACACTAAAAAAGAAAAGAGGTAAAATTAATTTTTAATAATTTATTTAACCCAGTATGTCCAAAATATTATCATTTCAACATGTAATCAATATAAAAATTATTGAGATATTTTACTTTCATTTTTTTCATGCTTTCTTCAAAATCCAGTTTGTATTTTATACTTAGAGCACATCTTTTTTTTTTTTTTTTTTTTTTGAGACAGAGTCTCACTATGTTGCCCAGGCTGGAGTGCAGTGGCGTGATCTCAGCTCACTGCAACCTCTATCTCCTGGACTGAAGCAATTCTTGTGCCTCAGCCTCCCGAGTAGCTGGGATTACAGGCATGTGCCACCACACTCAGCTAATTTTTGTATTTTTAGTAGAGATGGGGTTTCACCACGTTGGCCAGGCTGGTCTCGAACTCCTGACCTCAAATGATCTACCTGCTTCAGCCTCCCAATGTGCTGGGATTACAGGCATCAGGCACCGTGCCCAGTCATTAGAGCACATCTTAATTCAGACTGCCTGCCTATCAATGACTCAAAAGCAGATGTAGGTAATGGCTACATTACCAAATTGGACAGTGTGGTTCTAGATAGTAACAACAAATAGATTGTATGCACGGGGGAGTTTTGTTAAGTGGGAAGGTATAATATGTTAAGGCCCTCTTCATGTTCAAGAGGAAGATAAAAATATTAAGTAATTCAGACTCTTCTAGCAAAATGTATAATTAAATATATGTAATGAAAAAAACTGAAAAGATTTAACTAAAATAATGGAAATACAAACCATTATAGCTCTCAAAGCAGCAGAAGGGCAAAAGAGAATATTGAAAACTTAATCAGTTCAGTAAAAGGATAGTTTAAAAAAGTAAAAAAAAAAAATTTAAATGAAGAAAAGGGATGATAAATAGAATATAGAAAATGAGAAGTAGAAAGAGTTCCAAATATATGAGTAGTTCAAAGTAAATATAGATTAATTTTCTTTGTTAAGAGTCAACAATTTGAATAAAAAGCCAAATTATTTATCTGTTGCTCTATTGATATATGTTTAGCAATGCCAAAAATAAAACCACTGAGAAATGGGAAAAGAAAACTGATAGAAATTATCAATATCAGACAGATGAAAGACCAAGGGCTTTAATAAAGATAAAATGAAACAGTACACATTAATAAAAGGAAAAGTCTACCAAGAAGATATAATAATTATGAACTTGAATGCACCTTAAATATAGCCTTAAAATACACAAAGCAAAAACAGAATTATAAAGAATTAGAAGTCTACAATTATAGTGAGATATTTTAATACAGGTGTGTCCAAAACTGATAAATCAAGCAGATAAAAATTAGGCAGTAGAAGATTTTAAAATATCCTGAACAAATGGCTGTTATTAAAAAGTCAAAAAAATACAGATGCTGGTGAGGTTACGGAGAAAAAGGAACACCTATACACTGTTGGTGAGAGTGTAAATTAGTTCAGCCATTGTGGAAAATAGTGTGTTGATTCCTCAAAGACCTAAAAACAACTACCATTCGACCCAGCAGTCCCATTACAGGGTATATACCCAAAGGAATAAAGACACATGCATGCATATGTTCATTGCAGCACTATTCACAATAGCAAAAACATGGAATCAACCTAAATGCCCATTAATGGCAGACTGGATAAGGAAAACATAGTACATATACACCATGGAATACTATGCAGCCATAAAAAAGAATGAGATCATGTCCTTTGCAGGAACATGGGTAAAACTGGAGGCCATTATCTTTAGCAAATTAATGCAGGAACAGAAAACCAAATACTGCATGTTCTCACTTAGAAGTGGGAGCTAGATGATGAGAACACATGGACACATAGAGGGGAGCAACAGACGCTGGGGCCTTCCAGAGAGTGGAGGGTGGGAGGTGGGAGAGGATCAGGTTAAATAACTAATGAGTACTAGGCTTAATACCTGAGTGACAAAATAATCTGTACGGCAAACCTCTATGACACAAGTTTAGCTATATAACAAACCTACACATGTACCCCTGAACTTAAAAATTTAAAAAAGTGGCTGGGCACAGTGGCTTATGCCTGTAATCCCAGCACTTTGGGAGGCGGAGGCAGGCGGATCACCTGAAGTCAGGAGTTTGAGACCAGCCTGGCCAACATAGTGAAACCCCATCTCTACTAAAAATACAAAAAAACAAAAAAACAAAAAATAGCCAGGCTTGGTGGCGCGTGCCTGTAATCCCAGCTACCCAGGAGGCTGAGGCAGGAGAATCGCTGGAACCCAGGAGGTGGCGGCTGTAGTGAGCCGAGATCGCGTCACTGCACACCAGCCTGAGCGACAGAGCGAGACTCCATCTTAAAAGAAAAAAAAAAAAGTTTAAAAAAGTGGTATATTTCTTTAAAAAAAAAAAAGGCAATATGAACAGAGTTAATGCATAGCTGAACAAATGAGAAAAGGTATTTCAATGTTAAAAGCTGACAAGGGATTAATGCCCAGAATATACAAGGGACTCCTGCAAATAAAAATCAGGAGGGCAACCCCAGTAGAAAAATGAGCAAAGGATATGGACAAACAATTGATAGAAAGGAAACCCCTACAGCTATTATGCATGTAAAGAGAAGCTTAAAGTTATTAGTAATCACACAAATGAGAATTAGAACAAAATGGCACTTTACATCTACTGGACTGCAAAAATTTAAAAGCTGGATAAGCCAAATGTTGGCATAGATGGGTTCTGTATCTTGATGGCTGATGGGGTGTGGATGCTATAGCCTTTCTGGAAGGATCTAGGGCTACTAATGCTATGACCCAGCAGTTATGCTGCTTAGTATATAGTCCAGAGACATTCTCATAGGATCCACAAGAGCCCACAGGTTTGAGGTTGTTTGGTGTGGTGTATGTACGTGGGAGAGCACTGGAGCCAACTGAGTGCCCACCATCAATGAGAGAATGCACAGGTGAAATGTGGCAGATGACACCAGGGTGATGTTCGGCAATGGGAACCCAGATTAGATAATGCCTGTGCCACATGTATGAGATTTCAGAACCTAGCAGTTTTTTAGAGAGAAAAAATAGTAAGAAGCAGAATATGTAATACACTATCATTTATGCAAATAAAACATACACCCAAATACCACAATACCTTTTTTTTTTTTTTTTTTTTTTGAGATGGAGTTGTGCTCTTGTTGCCCAGGCTGGAGAGCAATGGCGCGATCTCGGCTCACCACAACCTCTGCCTTCCAGGTTCAAGCGATTCTCCTGCCTCAGCCTCCCAAGTAGCTGGGATTACAGGCATGTGCCACCACGCCTGGCTAATTTTGTATTTTTTAGTAGAGACAGGGTTTCTCCATGTTAATCAGGGTAGTCTCGAACTCCCGACCTCAGGTGATCCACCTGCCTTGGTCTCCCAAAGTGCTGGGATTACAGAGGTGAGCCACTGCGCCCGGCCACCACAATACCTATTTTGTAAGAACACCAACATAAGAAGCAACTACATGCGATCAGAACAAAATCCTTGCGTAAATGGGTAGGGGAGGAAATGAAAGTTGGAGGTGGGGATAAATGGAAACAAATGCTTAGACAACAAAGTGACCTGGGAACCTTGCACAGATTGGTGATGAAAATATGCTACAATAGGATAAAAGTATGATTAACTCCACCTTCTGCATCTGGGGGTCTCAAAAACAAGCAAGCAAACAAGCAGGTAGAAAACAAAAACAAAAAGAAAAGGTGCAAAACAGAGTTATCAAAATGGTGGTAGAGTTAATGTATTTACATTAAACAAATATGTTTTTAAGAACAAAAAATATCCTGAACAATGTTTCTAATTAAAAACAAATGCTGGATAAAATGTAATATATATATATATTTCTAATATGTAGTTGAGCTGATAAGAAAGACAGGAATCCATGGGCCAAAAATGAAATGGAATCAGGAATGCAAAGAAGTAAACAGGTGTTCAGTTGGCTTTTACCCTGGAGGCTTCTGCCAAGTGCTGGTGACCTTGAGCTTCTGTTTTGACAAGTATGAGAAGTAAAGGGAACAAGAGAGATAATTCTAGAACCAGTTTAAGGTGAGGAATTTAGTAGAAAGTGACTCTGCATAAGGCTGGGACCCCAAAAGTGCTTACTTTCAGCAAAAAGGTGATCTAGAGATAAACCACCCTGTTCATCTAGGCTGTGGCATTGGGGACAGAAGTAGCTGAATATCTTATTTTATTTTATTTTAGAGAAAGTCTCCCTCTATTTTAGAGACAGAGTCCCACTCTGTTGCCCAGGCTGGAGTTCAGTGGCATGATCATAGCTCAAGGGATTTTCCCATTTCAGCCTCCCGAGTAGCTGGGACTATAGGTGTGTGGCACCACCCCTGGCTATTAAAAAAAATTTCTTTTTGTAGAGACAGGGTCTTGCTATGTTGCCCAGGCTGGTCTGACGCTGCTGACCTCAAGCGATCCTCCCACCTCGGCCTCCCTAAGTGCTGAAATTACAGGCATGAGCCACTGTGCCTGGCCCTCCTCTGTGAATATCTAACCACAATCCAGCACTCGTGCATGTGTGGGACCCAAATTCACACTACCATATAGTTCAAAATCTCCAGCCAACAATTTTCAATTGGATTCAGGTTGGAAGCACTGTCATGTATCTGTAAAAACAAATATAAGTCTGCCAGGTGCAGTGGCACACACCTGTAGTTCCAGGTACTTGGGAGGCCAAGGCTGAGCCCAGGAGTTCATGGACAGCCTGAGCAAAATAGCAAGACCCCCTCTCAGAAAAAAGAAAAAAGAAAAGGAAAACAAATTCAAATCTTCTCTGGAGGCAAAAAGTCAGCATCATAAAGAAGTTGATTCTCCCCAAATTATTCCATAAATCCAGTGTAGTTTTAGTTAACATACCAACAGACTTTTTCATAAAACTTGATTTTAAAACTTATATAGAACAGCAAGAGCGAGGCATGGTGGTGCATGCCTATAGTATGTAGTCTTAAAACAGGAGTAGATTAAGTGACAATGGAATATCCCAAAAACAGACCTGTGTATCTATAAAAATGTTGTATATGATAGCAGGGGCATTATGAACCAGTGCGGGGTGGAAATGGAAAAGAGAGGTTTGGCTATATATATGAAAAAATAGAATAAAATTAGATCTCTACTTCACACCATAAGTGAAAATAACTTCCAGTTAGATTAAAGATCTAATTATGAAAGCAAAGCTTTAAAGTTTTAGGAGAAAGTATAGAATATAGTTGTATTCTAAGTGTAAGAAAGGATTTTTTTAGATACAAAAAGCATAAATCATTAAGGATTGATCAGTTCAACTGCATAAAAATTTTAAACTTCATTGTAACCAAACGCATCATAATAATGTGAGAAGATAGGCTATAGTTGGTGGGAGAAGGTATTTTCAATGTACATAACCAGAAAAGTATTAGTATATAAGATAATAGCCCTTTAGCAAAAGAGGCAGAGAATCACCTAAGATAAACTACAATGAACAGGCCGGGCACGGTGGCTCATGCCTGTAATTCCCGCACTTTTGGGTGGATCACCTGAGGTAGGGAGTTCGAGACCAGCCTGACCAACATGGAGAAACCCCGTCTCTACTAAAAATACAAAAATTAGCCGGGCATGGTCGTGCATGCCTGTAATCCCAGCTACTCGGGAGGCTGAGACAGGAGAATCACTTGAACCCGGGAGGCGGAGGTTGCGGTGAGCCAAGATTGTGCCATTGCATTCCAGCCTGGGCAACAAGAGCAAGACTCCATGTCAAAAAAATTAATAAATAAAATAAAATAAAACAAAAAACTACAATGAAGAATAACTACAGAAAGATGTTCAAGCTTATCATTTATTATGGAAGTACAAATAAAAATAACAGTAAATACCAAGTATTGGCAGAAAAATACTTGCTATTTCTCTCGGCAGCGAAACGTTGAGAAATAGGCACTCTTAGATATTACTGATGAAGTATAAATTTATAACATTATTTTGAAGAGCAGTTGAGCAATATATGGTAAAGCTGAAGATTAATTTTTTTTTAATAATTGATGCAGGCTGGGCATGGTGGCTCATACCTGTAATCCCAGCATTTTGGGAGGCTGAGGTGGGACAATCACTGGAGGGCAGGAGTTCAAGACTAGCCTGGGCAACACAGTGAGACTCCGTCTCTACAAACAATTTAAAAATTAGCCAGGTGTAGTTGCACGTGCCTATAGTCCCAGCTACTTAGAAAGCTTAGGAGGAATGCTTGAGCCCAGGAGTTTGAGGCTGCAGGGAGCCATGATTGCACCACTGCATTCCAGTCTGGGTGACAGAGCAAGACCCTGTCTCTTAAAGAATAAAGAAGAAGAAGAAAGAAATTAATGCATATGTGGACACGGAGGTATATGAAGAAGATTCATTATAGCATTGTTTGTAATAGAGAGAAGTTGGAAACGAATGTCTATCAAGAGGAAATATTAATAGATAAATAAATTCTGGTGTACTCATACAATGAAATACTATACATCAGTTAAGATAAATGAACTAAAAGCATCAGCATCTGATACACATCTCAGAAATTTAAAGTTGAGGTAGAAAAGAAAAAAATGTAGAATGAGCTTTATATAGTGTGATACCATTTACATAAAATTTGAAAACATTACAAACATAAGCTTGGTGAGGGCATGTATTTGTTCTGTGCTCTATCCCAGCATCTAGAATTGTGCCTAGCATATGGTGGGTTCTTATTAAACATTTACAGAGAAAAAACTGAACGCAAAACAATACTATAAAGTGTTTATGGTTACATACATATGAATTCATGGTATTAAAAATTTACATGGGAATAACAACAACTTTTGGATAGTGGTTCCCTCTGGGGAGGAAGAGAAGGGAAGGGACTGGGGAGGGATATACAAGGCACTTCAACTGTGTTTGTAATGTTCAAAAATATGTGAAAGATAAAATGTTAAAATTGATAAAGCTGAGTGGTATCACAGATGTTTGTTATATTTTTCATAGTTTTCTCTATGTTGCTAATATGTTATAATTTAAAAATTTCTTAGAAAGATAAGACTTGTGCCAAGTTGTTTGCCTTTACTCAAAACAACCTTTGGCTAATCCGCTATTAGAATGTATTATTTATCAATGTTAGCCTTCATTTGCTGCTGCCAGTATGCCTGCCATAGCAACTCATGCCTACAAATTTGAATCTGCTTCTTCTGATCTGTTGATTAGAGAAATCGATTTTGAAGCTCGTTTAGAAGTATACATAACTTAAGAGTTTTGGCTGGGCGCAGTGGCTCATGCCTGTAATCCCAGCACTTTGGGAGGCTGAGGTGGGCAGATTGCCTGAGGTCAGGAGTTCCAGACCAACCTGGCTAACATGGTGAAACCCCGTCTCTATTAAAAATACAAAAATTAGCTGGGCGTGGTGGCACACGCCTGCAGTCCCAGCTACTCGGGAGGCAGGAGACTCGCTTGAACCCAGGAGGCAGAGGTTGCAGTGAGCCGAGATCGCGCCACTGCACTCCAGCCTGGGCGATAGAGCGAGACTCTGTCTCAAAAAAAAAGAAAGTTTTGAGTGAAGATCTGAAGAGTCTTTGGTGCATGAGCTCAAGTGTGCTTTATTTATTAATAATACTAACTTCCATTTTTTAATGCTTTCTATGTGCCAAACCTTCTGTGAAGCACTTTTTATACATTACTTAATCCTCACAGTATCCCTCTGTGAGACAGATATTGTAGCTATTTAAGGAATAAAAAACTATAACTCAAATAAAGAGATTTGCCCAAGTTCTTAGATATAGTAAGTGGTGGAGCTGGAATTCATACTCAGTTCCATTAGATCACCTCACTGTACTGTTCAGAGACAGGGGCATGCATTTTCTGGTTTGAATCTAGACGGTCATTTTGTACATACTTGGTAATGTCTTCTAGTTCATTTCTTAGTTTTGTAGTTTGCTTATTATCTTGTAAAATAAAAAAATAAAAAACATTGGTAGTTACGGACAATATTTTCTATTACTTCATATTTTGGGAAAGTAGTGGGAAAAGTCTGTAATTTAAATACTTACACCCATTATACAGGCTTACTTCTCATTCCTGAGGGATCTGTATGTGGATTTAGAGTTCCTTTAATAATCATTAGCTGGGCGTGGTGGCCGGCATCTGTAATCCCAGCTACTCGGGAGGCTGAGGCAGAGAATTGCTTGAACCTGGGAGGCGGAGGCTGTAGTGACCCGAGATTGTGCCACTGCACTCCAGCCTGGGCGACAGAGCGAGACTCCGTCTCAAAAAACAAAACAAAAAAAAGATCTAGGTCCCCCCAGTTATGAAGTTGCAGGGAGAAGCCCGGAGGTCATCATAAAAATATTTACTTAGTGATATTACATTTAAAAAATTAGTACCTATTTAGTCGGGCATGGTGGCGGGTGCCTGTAATCCCAGCTACTCAGGAGGCTGAGGCAGGAGAATCGCTTGAACCATCTAAAAAAAAATAATAATAATTAGTACCCATTTAGGCTGTGCATGGTAGCTCATGTCTGTAATCCCAGTACCTTGGGACGCCGAGGTGGGCGGACCACCTGAGGTCAGGAGTTCAAGACCATCCTGGCCAACAAGGTGAAACCCCATCTCTACTAAAAATACAAAAATTAGTGGGGCATGGTGGCGGGTGCCTGTAATCCCAGCTATTTGGGAGGCTGAGGCAGGAGAATCGCTTGAACCCAGGAGGTGGAGGTTGCAGTGAGCCGAGATCACGCCATTGCATGCCAGCCTGGGCAACAAGAGCGAGACTCCGTCTCAAAAAAAAAAAAAAATTGATACCCATTTAAATATATCCCAGGATCTATTTCTCCCTCCCACTGTCTTTGTTGGCGTGCTGCTGATTGTTAAATTTCAAACTATATAATGCAAATGTAGTGCTGTGTCAGTGGGAACACGAAATTTCTTATCTTACAAAGGATGCAGAATTTTGCAAAACCCTGAAAATTATGTTAGAGAACTGGTCAAGTAATATAAAATCACTGGCAGATAATGATATCATAGAATTAAGAGTAGTGATCAATTAAAGAAAATGACATCAATTATGACATGATAGACACCTCAAAGCATTATGTGAATAACTCACAGGACTAAGGAAAAAGGCTCTTGGGAAAATTGATGAGGCCCTTGAATATTTATACAGAAATGACTCTCTGTTTTAGGTTTTGTTTTGTTTTTTATTTTTTGTTTTTGTTTTTGTTTTTTGACAGGGTCTTGCTCTGTTACCTAGACTAGGCTGGTGTGCAGTGGCACGATCATTGCTCACTGCAACTTCTGCCTCCTGGGCTCAAGCAGTTCTCCTGCCTCAGCCTCTCAATAGCTGGGACTACAGGCTTGGCTAATCTTTTGTAGAGATAGGGTTTCTCTATGTTGCCGGGGCTGGTCTTGAACTCCTGACCTCAAGCAATCCACCTCGCTCAAAGTGTTGGGACTACAGGCGTGAGCTGAAATGACCTTCTTTTTGATTATACTACAAATTCAAATATGAAGTAAGGATGTCATATTCTGCTATCATTATTTCATTGGGAAGATTAAGTAAAAAATGCCAAACATTTAATTATTCTTGTTCTGAGAATTTGCATATGCAGATGCTCTTCAACTTCTGATGGGATTATCTCCCAATAAACCCATTGTCAGTTGAAAATATTGGAAGTCAAAATAAATTTAATACCCAGATAAACATCATAAAGTCAAAAAATTGTTAGTCAAACAATTTTAAGTGGGGGATCGTCTGTAGTTAAATAGGAAAATGTTATTTTCATGAGTTTTCATTTAATTTTTTTTTAAGATATAGACTCAACAACACTTTCATTTATACAATGAAATGTTAGTACCCATTTTAATAGAATTCATTTTCAGTTTCTTTTATCCTTTACCATATCATCTGACAATGAAGACCTTGAATTTGTCCAGATGTCAGCTTACCCATAGCTGTTACAGTCATGTATGCTGGGGTTTGATGGGGACATTTGGAGAAGTTCTGTGATTCAGAGACACAGATTTCAGTGTGTTTGAAGGGTTGTCTCTTATTTATTGGGGTCTGTGGAGTTATAAATATTTTACAATTATTAACTTATTAAGCTAGACTGAGTTTTGAGAGGACTAGGCCCACATATCGAAGGATTTGTCTAACGCTACATTCTCTGCATCTGTTGATTTTGGGATAAAAATTGTTCTAGGTGCTTTAATTTATCTCCTAGTGTACATTCTTAATATTCTACAATTTTTTTCTCTTTATCAGTGATTTTCCAATACCAAAGTTTTTTTTGTTTGCTTTGCCGCCTAGGCTGGAGTGCAGTGGTGCGATCTCGGCTCACTGCAGCCTCCGCCCCGCCAGCTCAAGCGATTCTCCTGCGTCAGCCTCCCGAGTAGCTGATATTACAGGCAGGCGTCACCACACCTGGCTAATTTTCATATTTTTAGTAGAGATGGGGTTACATCATGTTGCCCAGGCTGGTCTCAAACTTGAGCTCTGGTGATCCGCCCTTGTTGACCTCCCAAAGTACTGGAATTACGGGAGTGAGACACTGTGCCCAGCCATCTTTTTTTAAATTTATGTTTTACTAAACAGCAACTTCCAATATCAAAGTTTTTAATAAGTAATATTTTGAGGCAAAAATGAGCCAATTAAAGTCAAAGTATTGAATTTCTCATTAAACTTATTCAATTCAAAACTATTAGCTTTTATTCCAACTTTATATTTTTCTATATTTTTGGTATTAAAATATCCTTTCATGCAACAATTATAGTTTTTTAAATGACCTTATTAAGAAAAATTAAAAAGCTAATCCCCCTATTTTTTATGAAAGTCCAACAGTCTGGAAACCTAGCCAGTTCAGAGATCTTTCTGAAACTCTCATTCTAATAATCTCTCTTCCTTAAAACTCTCAGACCACTGTGGCCTACAGCAATATAACCCCACTGGGGTTTTAAATCCATCTGTGCATTAAGTATTTTCTGTAGACCGAATAAAATATCTTTGTTATTTTTTAAAAACTTTTCAAATGTATGAATATGCTCAATTTATTTTAAAACTTTAACTTTCCAGTAGCTTTTTAGAAAATATTTTTTGTACGTATTTTTCTCAATCACGTACTTTTTTTTTTTGAGACAGGGTTTCACTCATGTCGCCCAGGCTGGAGTGCAGTGGTGCTATCTCGACTCACTGCAACCTCCGCCTCCCTGGCTCAAGAGATTCTCTTGCCTCAGCCTCCTGAGTAGCTGGGACTACAGGCTCGTGCCACACCTGGCTAATTTTGGTATTTTTCATAGAGACGAGGTCTCATCATGTTGCCCAGGCTGGTCTCAAACTCCTGAATTCAAGAGATCAGCTGGCCTCGGCCTCCCATAGTGCTGGGATTATGGGTGTGAGCCACTGTGCTCAGTCTCAGTCACATAATTTCTGTCAAATATGGAAGTCATTGAACTAGTTTTACTTTAGAAAGCATCATCAGGGCCGGGCGCAGTGGCTCATACCTGTAATCCTAGCACTTTGGGAGGTCGAAGTGGGCAGATCAGTTGAGGTCAGGAGTTCAAAACCCACTTGGCCAACATGTTGAAACCCTGTCTCTACTAAAAATGTAAAAAAAATTAGCTGGGGCCGGGTGTGGTGGCTCACGCTTGTAATCCCAGCACTTTGGGAGGCCAAGGCAGGCAGATCATTTGATGCCAGGAGTTTGAGACCAGCCTGGCCAAAATGGTGAAACCCTGTCTCTACTGAAAATACAAAAATTAACCGGGTGTGATGGTGGGCGCCTGTAATCCCAGCTACTCAGGAGGCTGAGGCAGGAGAATGACTTGAGCCCGGAAGGTGGAGTTGCAGTGAGCCGAGATCGCGCCACTGCACTCCAGCCTGGGAGACAGAGTGAGACTCCGTCCAAAAAAAAAAAGTTACCTGGGCGTGGTGGCGGGCACCTGTAATCCCAGCTACTTAGGAGGCTCAAGCAGGAGAATCGCTTGAACCCGGGAGGCGGAGGTTGCAGAGAGCTGAGAGTCACGCCATTGCACTCCAGCCTGGGCAACAAGAGTGAAACTCAGTCTCAAAACAACAACAACAAAAAACATTATCAGTAAAGGTAAATCTATAAGGGAAAGATGGACTTGACAATATAAGAATTAAAATTTTATATAATGTGTCTGGTTCATCAGAGATTGTTATCACAGGTTTGGTGAAATCCTTTGGAACATCAACGTGTAGGTTTGAAAACTGTACCCACTTCATATTGGTACTGAGAAGAAAGCCACCATTTTTGGCTATATTGCCCTTAGAACTGTTTACAGAAAAATTCCCCAATCCCTGCCAGAGGCGCCGGCACACGGCCCCAAACGCCGTCCGCGCCGCCACGGTAAGGCTGTATTGGACAGTTATGAATATTTTGCTGTGCTTGATGCTAAAGAACTTGGTATCTCTATTAAAGTACACGAACCTCCAAGGAAAATAGAGCGATTTACTCTTCTCATATCAGTGCATATTTATAAGAAGCACGGAGTTCAGTATGAAATGAGAACACTTTACAGATGTTTAGAGTTAGAACATCTAACTGGAAGCACAGCAGATGTCTACGTGGAATATATTCAGCGAAACTTACCTGAAAGGGTTGCCATGGAAGTAACAAAGACACAATTAGAACAGTTACCAGAACACATCAAGGAGCCAATCTGGGAAACACTATCAGAAGAAAAAGAAGAAAGCAAGTCTTAAAGCCTCAGGGAGGCCATTTTTGCCTGAATTTGAAATGAGGGTGGGCCAGATGAGTATGTTTAAGTGGAGAGTGCTTCCAGCTGAGATGATTTGAGTCTGCCCTAACTGCTCTATTGAGTTCTCGTGCCCTCATCAGCTGAGAGCAGGGAATGGAACTTTAATGCAAGAACCACTTTTATCTACTCTTTTTTGTACATGTCATTGTTTCAGTTCTGATTTCAACAAACATGAGCAAACCACTTTGACTCAAAGCGGAAAGAGTGAAAATTCTATTTTGTTATGCTACTGGTGTTCAATTATTAGTTTGTACCATTTTTAATTTATGTCAGTTGATGCATCTGAAAATAAGTGCTTGAAGTGTTCACACCCTTACTTTTTTTTTTTAAGATTCCTAGAAGGAATCTTTGGTTAATTCAGATTGAGCAGTTAAAGTTTTTGCTATTTACCTTTGTGCAGGCTGGCATATGCTAATTTGGGGGTGGTAACCAACCAATTTTATCTCATTTAAGCGTTACATTTTGAAGACTGTGAATATACTTCACAGTAGATCAAACACATTTATGGCATGCACTGACCTCTTCTTGGAGCCCAGAACTTTATAGAGTTGCCTACCAGGGTTACTGTAATGGAATTTATGATCTTAAGAAATTACTAGTTGTATTATTTATCCTGTGATTCATTCATTCAATAAGCTTTTACTGCATAAACTTTGCATCCAGCACTGTAGTAAGTACCCAAAATTGCATAGAAATAATGGCTTTTGAAAATTGCGCAAAGCAGGCCGGGCACGGTGGCTCACACCTGTAATCCCAGCACTTTGGGAGGCCGAGGCAGGCGGATCACGAGGTCAGGAGATGGAGACCATCCTGGCTAACACGGTGAAACCCCGTCTCTACTAAAAATACAAAAATTAGCTGAACGTGGTGGCACGTGCCTGTAATCCCAGCTACTCAGGAGGCCGAGGCAGGAGAATCCCTTGAACCTGGGAGATGGAGGGTGCAGTAAGATGAGATCGCGCCACTGCACTCCAGCCTGGCAACAGAGCGAGACTCCATCTCAAAAAAAAAAAAAAAAAAGAAAAGAAAATTGTGCAAAGCATAGGTAAATATTTTTCTTTACTAAGCTTCTCATTGATAAGCCCTCTTTCTTTTGGTAAATGTCACTCTGTTTGTTAGGAGATGTCTGCTTTTCCATGAAATGAAATAGTGGCTAAAGCCCTGAAAGAGGCAAGACTACAATGGGCTGAAACAGTTGGTATAGCAACCCCAGAGAAGTGCTTCATTTTCTTTTTATAGTAGAAGCAGGTCCATGTCTTTTGTGGTTTCCTTCACATCTTTGGAGTAGTTATGACTTCTCAGTTTTTCCCCCCTTAAACTGCATTGCCTGTTCTCTTTTCCTGACATGCTATCAGGTATCAGTGTGTTGAATACATACTGCTTGTGTGTCAAAAAAAAAAAAAAGAATTAAAATTTTGATTAGCTGGGCATGGTGGCATGTGCCCATAGTCCCAGCTACTCAGGAGGCTGAGACAAGGAGGGTTGCTTGAGCCTGGGAGGTCAAGGCTGCAGTGAGCCATAATCATCACTGCACTCCAGCCCAGGCAACAGAGCAAGACCCTGTCTCAAGAAAAAAAAAAATTAAAATTTTGATATGGGAAGAAAACATAAACCATATAAAAGATAGAAATATGTGGAAAATATATGCAATGCACAGTGTTTGAAAAACGGATATATTATCTTTAAAGATTTTTTTTACAACTCAGTAATTAAAATAATACTGCAGTTGTAAAATCAGCAAGGAACATGAACAGCAAAGAAATATATTTTTCTAATAAATGTGAAAAAGTTTCAACTTTACTAAACATAAAAGTTTCAACTTAAAACAAGATGATTTTTTTCCTAGCACTTAGGAGAAAGTTTTTTTAAAGACCTATGTGGCAAGGATTTGGGAAAATGGACACTCTCCTAACTGCTGATGCAACTCCATATTGGTATGATTTTTTGGAGAACAATTTGGCTACATTAAAAAAAACTTACATTAAAAAAATCTCATTTTACTTAGCAATATGTTTTTCTGGAAATATACTTAGAGAAATACATAGGGATGTGATTAATATTTGGCTGTAAGTATGCTCATCTTAGTGTTTTTTAGTAGTAAAAAATTGTAAGCAATCCAAACACCCAAAAATTGCATATTCATTTTAAAAAGAAGCCGGGCACAGTGGCTCACTCCTGTAATCCCAGCACTTTGGGAGGCCGAGGCAGGCAGATCACCTGAGGGTCAGGAGTTTGTGACCAGCCTGGCCAACCTGACAAAACCTGTCTCTACTAAAAATACAAAAATTAGCTGGGCATCGCAGCGGGCACCTGTAATCCCAGCTACTCTGGAGGCTGAGGCATGAGAATCACTTGAATGTAGGAGGTAGAGGTTGCAGTGAGCACCTGGGGGATAAAGCGTGACTCTGTCTCCAAAAAAAAAAAAATTAAAAAGAAAAAAGGTTTCAGTTCTTCATACAGTGAACACTATTCAGCCATTAAACATGATTTTGTTAATAAACCTTTAATAATGGCAATATGTTTTTGAGATAATATTAGGTTTAAAACAGAAATTAAGCTAAACATCAATAAAGTGGTTATTTTTGGTGATGGATTTTTTTTTTCTTTTTCTTTTTTTTGAGACGGAATCTTGCTCTGTGCCCCAGCTGGAGTGCAGTGGCACGATCTCAGCTCACTGCAACATCCGCCTCCCGGGTTCAAGCAATTCTCTGCCTCTGCCTCAGCCTCCGAGTAGCTGGGATTACAGGCGCCCGCCACCATGCCCAGCTAATTTTTTTTGTATTTTTAGTAGAGACAGGGTTTCACCATCTCGGCCAGGCTGGTCTTGAACTCCTGACCTTGTGATCCACCCGCCTCAGCCTCTCAAAGTGCTGGGATTACAGGCGTGAGCCACTGCGCCCAGCCGATTTTTTTTCATTAAAAATATTTTCAGTAGAAATGTTTTTTGTTATCGTTATTTTTAAAATAAGAGATGGGGTTTCGTCATGTTGCCCAGGCTGGTCTCAAACTCCTGAGCTCAAGTGATCCATCCATCTTGGCCTTCCAAAATGTTGGGATTATAGGTATGAGCTACCACGCTTGGCCAGGAAATGTATTTTTATAATTAAAAAATAGTTACTGGTAATCACCATAGAATAAATCCATAATGTATTCCCTAGTCATCTCTACTTTCCCACACACAGCACTCCTAACTGCTGCTTCTCAGAGGGCACCATCCGCTCACATGCCTGTGTATCTTTGCTTAGTAACCCTGACCACTTAGGGAGTTCCTGCTCATCTTTTATTCAGTTCAAATGATAACATCATGAAGTCTTTCCCAGCCACCCTCTTTGCTTATTCCACACAATTATTTCGTGTAATTATGTACTTACAGTGTCTTTTCTGCTAGGCAGTGAACTTCTCTTTCATTTATTTTGTAAGTATTTGTTGAGTGCATATGTGTCTGGCACCATGTGTATTGTATACTGCAGATCTAACCATGACCCTAGGCAGACAGGTTCCTTCTGTCTTCAGGGAGTTTACAGTAAAGTTGTTCCTTACAGTATAATATTAAGTATTATGATAGAAGCTCCCAGAATGCTTTGGGAGCTCAGAGAATTGGTAGGTCTACCAGGCTGGTTAAACAAGGAAGGCTTCCTGGAGGGCATAACAGCTGAATACAGTTATATGCCACATAACAACATTTCAGTGAGTGACACCATATACAACAGTGGTTCCAGAAGATTATAATGGAGCTGAAAAATTCCTATTGCCTAATACTTACTATGTTATACTTATTATTGTTATTTTAGAATGTACTCCTACTTAAAAAAAAATTAAACTGTAAAACAGCCTCAGGGAGGTTCTTCAGGAGGTATTCCAGGAGAAGCCATTGTTATCAGGAGATGACAGCTCTGTTCCTGTTATTGCCCCTGGAGGCCTTCCAGTGGGGCAAGATGTGGAGATGGAAGACAGTGATATTGATGATTTTTACCCTGTGTAGAACTAGGCTAATGTGTGTCTTTGTTTTTAACAAAAAAGTTTAAAAAGTAAACATTTTAATAGAAAAAAGTTAATAAAATAAGGCTATAAAGAAAGAAAATATTTTTGTACAGTTGTACAATGTGTTTGTGTTTAAGCTGTTATTACAAAAGAGTCAAAAGTTTAAAAAATTAAAAATTCATGAAGTAAAAAAAGTTATAGTAATCGAAGGTTAATTTATTACTGATGAAAAATTTTTAAATTAATTTAGTGTAGCCTAAGTGTACAGTCTTTATAATGTCTACAGTAATGGACAGTAATGCCCTAGGCCTTCACACTGACTCACCCCTCACTCACTGACTCACCCAGAGCAACTCCCACGCCTGCAAGCTCCATTCATGGTAAGTGCCCTATACAGGCGTAACATTTTAAATCTTTTATACAGTACTTTTACTGTATTTTTTCTATCTTTCAATATACAAATACTTACGATTGTGTTACAGTTGCCTACAGTATTTAGTATGGTAACATGCTGTGCACATTTGTAGCCTATGAGTGATAGGCTATATACCATATATACCATATAACCTCAGTGTGTACCATCTAGGTTTGTGTAAGTTCATTCTATGATGTTCACACAACAACAAAATCACCTAAGGACACATTTCTCAGAATGTATTCCATCATTAAGTGACACATGATGGTATTAAAAAGAAAGCAAGAATTAGCCAGATCCAGGGGCAGGAGGAAGGTTGTTTCACCTAGCAGAAACAACCTGTGTAAACGCCTGGTATTTGAAAACCGTGATCAATTTTAGGAAGGTCGTTATGGTGTTTGTGGATATTGAGGTTGATTTCTGACAATTATATGTAAATTTATCTTAGAAGAAGCACCAGAATTCATTTCTTCTGTAAGAGATTAGGATAACAGCATGTATTACAGAAAGCATCCTAATGTTAAATTAAGCAAAAATTCAAGTGTGAATAGTAGTTTATTTTTTAAGTATTTGTATTAAATATATTCTCACTAAGGATTGAGAAGTTAGTGTAAAATAATAAAAAGTCTGAATTATAGAGTATTTTAAGCCTATTTTGTAATTTTCTTGATTGGTCCTAATAAAATGTTGCTAAGAGATTATTTGGGAAATACCTTTCAGTTAAAAGATTTAAAATAATGGCAATTTTATAGCAATTTTTGTATGTAACTGTGTTCTAAATAGAAAAAGATGTTCCTTGTAGCAGAGCAAATATTTCTCATGATTTTGATTATGTGTAATGTGTCCCTCTCGGCAATCAAGTCTTCAAAACTTCCTCTATCGCCTATTAAATTCTCTCTCATCATTTTTGTTTCCTATAGAGATTCTGAAGTTCTTTTTTTCCCTTCTGTCACTGTTTTCCAAACACTTACCCCTATTTCCAATTTCAAATAAAAATCAGTAATTTAAAGCAAATGGATCCAATTGCAATATGACTGTCATTAAATCATAGTATCCTGGCTCTGTGATTATGCAAAGTATACTTTTTATAGTATATCAGTCATTGGGTTTACATAGTGAGTGTGTAGTCCTTTTTTTCTTTCTTTCTTGACTAGGTAATATAGTGACTGTTTCTCAAATCAATTTTCCTTTAAAAAGAGATTAAATGAACCAGGGTTTTGTTTTTCTGCTTTTATAGATTTCTTGATAACCGGCTGTTTGCTACCTGCTCTGATGACACTACAATAGCACTATGGGATCTGAGAAAATTGAACACCAAAGTATGCACTTTACATGGTCACACTAGCTGGGTGAAGAACATCGAATATGATACTAATACAAGACTCTTAGTAACATCAGGATTTGATGGAAATGTCATTATTTGGGACACTAACAGGTTTGTGAATAGGAGACCATGTTAGGATTATGAACAAAAACATTTTTTTTAAAGATGGTGAACAAATTCAGTGTTCTGTCCTAGCCTCAAGAAGGAAACTGGCTTTAGGAAAAGCAACCAAAAAGTGATGATATATTTTGTTAATTGTACCTAGTCATATATTGCAACTAAAAATTTTGGGGAAAATTATACAGGAAGGAGACCAAGTAGTATAGTTAATGATGAAAACTGGCTTATAAAAAAAGAGTTTCCTGAATTTAAGGAAAAATATTTTTGTTATTTCTCCTGTGAAACTAAACTGTTTCTCACTTTTTCTTCCCTCAATTCTACATATATTTATTTTGCAATTTTTGTTCTTTGTTTTCATGCATTAAAAGAGTAGTTCTCATTTGGAATGGTACTGATCTCAAAGGGAATGTTTAGGAATAAAGCGTGGGGCAATTTTGGTTGTCACTATGGGGGAAGAGAACTATCTACTAGCATGTAGTCAGCAAGGACCAGAGTTTCTAAACCTCCTGCAGTACACAGGTCAGTGTGCACAGTGGACTAGTTGTCCCACCTAAAATGCCAGTTATGCCTCTGTTGTGCAACATTCCAACAAAATGTCTCCTTATAAAGAAATTGATATTTAAAGAGTTGAAGTTTGAAAAACAATTAAAATATGCCTGCTTTGCTAGCTATGGTGAAATGATAATATAGTAAACACACCATGATCATTTCTGTGTATATTTGTTTTTGTTGTTGTTTTTGAGACAGGGTCTCGCATTGTCACCCAGGCTGTAGTGCAGTGGTACAGTCACAGCTCACTGCAGACTGGATCTCCCAGGCTTAAGTGATCCTCCTGCCTCAGACTCCTGAGCAGCTAGGACTATAGGCATGAGCCACCATGCCCACCTAATTTTTTATTTTTTGTAGAGACGGGGTCTCGCTATGCTGCCCAGGCTGGTCTTGAACTCCTGGGCTCAAGTGATCCTCCTGCCTTAGCTCCCAAAATACAAGGATTACAGGCATGAGCCACTGTGTGTGGCCATCATTTTCGAAATATTCTTTTTAGAGGTCATATGTAAAAAGAGAGGGGCTATTCTTGGAGATTTCTAGCTACCCATACTCTTTGAGTGGAAGGCAAAAACTATTGGTTATCTTTAGACAAAGACAAGCATACCTACTAAATGAATTTGTTTACTAAAATTTAGAAATAAAATTTGAATAGAAATATAAATGTAACTTCCAAATTAGTAGAGGGTAAAAAACTAATAAAACATGATCAATCCCATAGAAGCAGAGAAGGGAAGGAAAAAAGATAATTATTTAAAAGAACAGGTAAATTAGGAAGCACAAAACTAGTCATATACTGCAACTAAAAAGTTGGAGAAAATTATACAGGAAGGAGACCAAGTTGTATAGTTCATGATGAAAACTAGCTTACAAAATAAATTTCCTTAATTTCAGGAAAAATATTTTTTGTTATTTCACAAAGCATAAAACTAGTAGGCAGATAACCTAAGCTTTAATCCAAATATTAATAACTGTGATAAACGTATATGGGCTAAACTGTCCAGTTAAAAATAGACAGTGTTAGATTAGATTAAAAATAAAACAGAACTGTATTTTCTTTGTAAGGGACACAGTTAAAACATACAAACCTAGAAAAGTTGAAAGTAAAAGGATGAGAAAAAACAAACAATTATACGTCAAAGACAAAACAGTTGTGGCTACATTAATAGCAAACAAAATAAAGTTTAAGACAAAAAGCATTACTGATAAAAAGGTACTATAACAAAAGATTAATTTCACTAAAATATAAAAGCTTGTATGCGCCTAAAAACATAGCATAAAACTATAAAAAGTAAAAGTGGACAGAATTACAAGAAAGAAGTGAGAAATCTCCATCTCAGTGGAAAATATTAACAGCATTCTCTCATTTACTTATCTAGATAAGATAGACAAAAATGGGCCGGGCATGGTGGCTCACGCCTGTAATCCCAGCACTTTGGGAGGCTGAGGTGGGCAGATCACTTGCGGTCAGGAGACCAGCCTGGCCAACATGGTGAAACTCCATCTCTACTAAAAATACAAAAATTAGGCCACGTGTGGTGGCTCACACCTGTAATCCCAGCACTTCGGAAGGCCGAGGTGGGTGGATCACCTGAGGTCAGGAGTTTGAGACCAGCCTGGCCAGCACGCAGAAACCCCATCTCTACTAAAAATACAAAAATTAGCCAGGCGTGGTGGCTGGCACCTGTAATCCCAGCTACTTGGGAGGCTGAGGCAGGAGAATCACTTGAACCCAGGAGGTAGAGGTTGCCGTGAGCCGAGGTTGTGCCACTGTACTCCAGCCTGGGCCACAGAGTCAGACTCTGTCTCAAAACAATAACAACAGCAACAACAAAAATAAATAAAACACAAAAATTAGCAGGGCCTAGTGGCACACGCCTGTAATCCCAGCTACTGAGGCAGGAGAATCGCTTGAACCTGGGAGGCAGAGGTGGCAGTGGGCCAGCCTGGGTGACAGAGTGAGATTCTGTCTCAAAAAAGAAAAATAACAACAACAACAAACAAAAATGGATAAGGCTGTGGAAGATTTAAATATTATTAATAAGCTTGATGTATTACACATATTTAGATTTCTGCTACCAACAACTAGTGAAAACATCCTCTGAAGCAAACTTAGAACCAGTACAAAAATTGAGCATGTACTGAACTACAAAGTAGGTTTCAGCTGGTACCAAAGAACTATTATCACACAAACCATTTTCCCTGTTCTTAGTATCATTTAGTTATTAATTAAAAATTCTCATGTTTAGAGACTTATAAACTCACTTTTAAATAATTTATGGATCAAAGAAGAAATCATACTGAAGACAGGTTGAAAATTGATGAACTAAGCATCTTACTCAAAAAACTGGAAAAAAGTAAAAGGATAAACCCGATGAAAGTAGATGTATGGAAATGATAAGTGTAAAAGCATAAAATTGATGATGTCAAAAATGAAAATATAATAGAGGATTTTTAAAAGCCTGCTCTTTGAAAAAAGCTAATTGAATAGGCAATTCTCTGGCAAGATTCATCAAGAGAAAAAAGACATAAATAACTAATATCAGCAATAAAAAGGAGACAACAATATAGAAGAAGATGATAGATGAGCTTTATCCCTATATACTTGAAAACTTTGATGAAATAGCCAGTTTACTAAAAAAATACACCTTAGCAAAACTGGCCAAGGAAGAAATAGAAAACCTGAAATAGACCTATTACTAGGACTAATATTTAGCCAATATGTACTGGTTCAGCTGAAGTACTGTTAAAAGATTGAACTTCTTCCATACCAATTCGTAAATAGGCACTGCCCTGAGTTACCCTCTGACACCCTCTGACTACCCAGGCCCCTCTTCTAGAGATACCTCCCACAAAACCTTCCCATGATTCAGCAGCAAAAGTCCCCCTTACACAATATGGCGATTCCAGGACCCTGTTCCAGCACAGCCATCTGCATCTATTCTGACTGGCAAGTGTTCATGCGGTGCTTGTTATTTAAATATTCTGAATATCACCTCTGCCACAGCCATTAAAGAAATGGAAAAAATGAGTTAAAAACTACCTACAGTACTAATAAAAGAGCAGGTCTGTCAGTTTTACAGGTGACTTCTACCAAATATTGCAAATAAGAGAGAACATTCTAATTTTATTAAACTGATCAGATTATTGAAAAAGGGAATTCTTACATCATGTATAAAATTAGTATGACCTTGATACCCGAACTTAACAAAGATAATATTAAAAAAAAAGAAAGACCAATCTGTAATATGAATGTAAATACAAATATTCTAAATGCAAAGAAATTGAACCCTACATTATAGTAAATATCATGACCAAGTTGGGCTTACTCAAGGAATGAAAAGATGGTTTATCAATAGAAATTGTATTAATATAATTACCCACATTAACAGATAAAATGGGTAAATCTGTATGATTGTTTCAAATGAGGAATAAGATTCAACATTTAGTCATAATTAAAAACAAAAGAGAGGAGATATCATAACCAACCTTACAGAAATTAAAAGGATTAATAAGGAGTACTATGAGCAACTTTATGGCAACAAATTAGGCAACACAGATGAACAGATAGACACCTAAGGAGTCACAAATTACTGAAATTGACTTAAGATAAATAGAAAATCTATTGACTTATAGACCTACAGCAAGTAAAGATATTGAATTGGTAATTTTTTTTTTAAGATGGAGTCATTGCAACCTCTGCTTCCCAGGTTCAAGTGATCCTCCTGCCTCAGCCTCCTAAGTAGCTGGGATTACAGGCATCCACCACCACCCCTGGCTAATTTTTGTATTCTTAGTAGAGACAGGGTTTCACCATGTTGGTCAGGCTGGTCTCAAACTCCTGACCTCAGTGATCTGCCCACCTCGGCCTCCCAAAGTGCTGGGATTACAGGTGTTAGCCACTGTGACTGGCCTGAATTGGTAATTTAAAAATACTCCCACAGTGAAAAGCCCAGAATCAAATGGCTTCACTGATTAATTCTACCAAATATTTACATAGTAAATAATAACAGTCCTTCACAAACTCTTCCAGAATATAGAGGAGACAGGATATTTTCCAACTCATGCTTTGAGTCTACTATTATCCTGATACCAAAACCAGACAGACACCATAAGAATAGAAACTACAGGGCTGGGTGTGGTGGCTCATGCCTGTAATCCTAGCATTTTGAGAGGCCAAGGCGGGTGGATCACTTGAGGTCAGGAGTTCAAGACCAGCCTGGCCAACATGGTGAAACCCCACCTCTACTAAAAATACAAAATTAGCTGGGTGTGGTGGTGCATGCCTGTAATCTCAGCTACTCAGGAGGCTGAGGCAGGAGAATCATGTGAACCCAGAAGGTGGAAGTTGCAGTGAGCCAAGATCACACCATTGCACCCCAGCCTGGGGCACAAGAGTGAAACTCCATCTCAAAAAAAAAAAAAAAAAAAAAAAAGAATAGAAACCACAAATATTCCTAAAAAAAAAAAGGATGGAAAAATCCTCAACAAAATATTAGCAAATCTAACAATATATATAAACATTTTTATGTCATCACCAAGTGGAATTTATCCCAGGAATACAGGGTTGGTTTAACTCCCAAAATCAGTTAATGTAATACATTATACTAATAAAGGTCAAAACCCATATGATAATCAAGACAGAAAAGCACTTGACAAAATCTCTTTGTGATAAAACTAGGCATAAAAGGGAATGTATTCAAAAGCTAAGAATCTTGCTTAACATTGAAAGACTGAATGCATTCCCCCTAAGATGGGAAGCAAGGCTCTCACCACTTTTTTTTGAAATTATACTGGAGGTGCAACATTGCACTGGAGGTGCAATCAGGTAAAAAAAAGAAAAGGCATTCAGAATAGAAAGGAAGACGTAAACTGTCTTCATATGCAGGAAATATGTTTCTGTATACAGAAAATAGTAAGGAACCTACCAAGAAATCCACTAGACCTAATAAACAAGTTTAGTAAATTCACAAGATATACAATCAATTGTATTTCTACTTATAAGCAATGAACAATCCAAAAATGAATGAAGAAAATAATTTAATTCACAATAGCATCAAAAAGGGTAAAATACATAGGAATAAAATTAACAAAAGAGGTATGAGATTTGTACACTGAAATCTATAAAACATTGCTAAAGGGAATATAAGAAGTTGTAAATAAATGGGGAGATAGTCCATGTTCATGGATTCGAAGACTCCATATTATTAATTAATAACAAGTATTGGCAAGAATATGGAGAAACTGGAACCCTGATTGCTGAAACCCACATTGCTGGTGGGAATGTAAAATGGAATAGCCACTTTAGAAAACAATTTGGCAGTTTCATAAAATGTTAAACATGGAGTTACCATATGATCCACCAATTCCACTCCTAGATATCTATTCAAGAGAAATGAACATATATGGCCACACAAAGACTTGTACATGAATATTTATAGTAGCACTCATAATAAGCAAAAATGGAACCAATCCAAATATCCAGCAAGTGGTAAATAGATAAACAAAATGTGGTGGATGTATGCAACAGAATTCTATTTAGCAATGAAAACGAACAAATAATTGATACATGCTATGACATGGATGAACCTCAAAAAATTATGCTGGGTGAAAAAAGCCAACTTGCAAAAGACTACTTACTGTACGATTCTATTTATATGAAATATCTAGAATAGGTAAATCTATAGAGACAGAAAGTTGATTAGTGGTTGCCTGGAGCTGAGAGTGGGAACAGAAAGTGATTGCTAATGGGCAGGAGGAATCTCTTAAGGTGATGAAAATGTTCTAAAACTGGATTGTGTTGATGATTGCACAGCTCTGTAAATTTACTAAAAAATTACTTAATTGCGGCCTGGCATGGTGGCTCACACCTGTAATCCCAGCACTTTGGGAGGCCGAGGGAGGGTGGATCACCTGAGGTCAGGAGTTTGAGACCAGCCTGGCCAACATGGTGAAATCCCGTCTCTACTAAAAATGCAAAAATTAGCAGGGCGTGGTGGTGGGCACCTGTAATCCCAGCTACTCAGGAGGCTGAGGCAGGAGAATTGCTTGAGTCCAGGAGGTGGAGGTTCCAGTGAGTCAAGATCACGCCACTGCTCTCCAGCCTGGGCGACACAGCGAGACTCTGTCTCAAAAAAAAAAAAAAAAAAACTTAATTTACACCTAAAATGAGTGAGTTTTATGGCATGTAAGTTATACCTCAATGAAACTCCTGAATCATTAATTAACTAGAGATAGAAGGAAATTTATCAAAAGTATATACTAAAAAATTATAGCACATTTTAAAATGGTGAACCTTAAGAAGATTTCTCCTTAAAATCTGGAAGGAGAGCTTGCTCACTGTTACCACTACTGTTCATCAGTGTCATGGGGTGGGTGAAGCGGGGGAGGGTACTAGTTGGTGCAATAAAAGAAGGAAGAAAACAATTATATATGGATTGGAAAGAAGAAAACACTATTATTCACAGATGATATATCAGGCGTTGGCAAACTATTTCTGTAAAGGACCAGGTAGTACATATTTTAGGCTTTGTGTACTACATGGTCTCTGAGCTGTCATAGATGATACATAAATGAATAGATGTGGCTGTGTTTATACAAACTTTCTTTATAGAACCAGGCAGTGGTCAGGCACCGTGGCTCATGCCTATAATCCCATCACTTTGGGAGGCCAAGGTGGGAGGACTGTGTGAGCCCAGGAGTTTGAGACAAACCTGGGCAACATAGTGAGACCTCATCTCTAAAAAAATTTTAAAACATGGCCAGGCACGGTGGCTCATACCTGTAATCCCAGCACTTTGGGAGGTTGAGGTGGGCAGATCATGAGGTCAGGAGTTCGAGACCAGCCTGACCAATATAGTGAAACCCCGTGTCTACTAAAAATACAAAAAAATTAGCCAGGTGTGGCAGGTGCCTGTAATCCCAGCTACTCAGGAGGCTGAGGAAGGAGAATCGCTTGAACCTGGGAGGCGGAGGTTGCAGTGAGCCGAGATCGCACCACTGCATTCCAGCCTGGGCAACAGTGCAAGACTCCATCTCAACAACAACAACAACAAAAAATTTAAAACATTAGCCAGGTGTGGCCGTGTGTGCCTGTAGTCCCAGGTACTCAAGAGGGCGAGACAGGAGGACCCCTTGAGCCCAGGAGTTCAAGGTTTCAGTGAGCCATGATTGCACCACTGCACTCTAGGCTGGGCAAGAGATTGACACCCTGTCTTTAAAACATAAAATAGATAAAAGTGGGCCAAATTTGGCCCATAGGCCAAAGTTTTCTACTCCCTGTTCTATATAGAAAATCTTACAAATTCCTCAGAGAAATTATCAGAATTAGTAAGATTTAACAAAGGTCATTAGATATAAATTATGGAAGACAGTAGGGAGGTTCCTCAAAAACTTAAAAATAGAACTACCATATAAATCCAACAATCCTTCTACTAGGTATATATCCAAAGGAAATTAAATCACTATGTCAAAAAGATATCTGCACTCTCATGTTCATTGCAGCACTATTCACAGTAGCCACGATATGGAGTTAACCTAAACGTCCATCAATGAATGAATGGATTAAAAATGTTGTAATATACACAGCAAAATACTATTCAGCCTTAAGAAAGAAGGAAATTTTGTCATTTGCGACAATACGAATGAGCCTGGAGGACATTATATTAAACAAAATAAGCCAGGCTCAGAAAGACAAATATCACTTACATGTAGAATCTAAAAAAGTCAAAAACTCATAGAAGCAGATAGTAGAATGGTGGTTACCAGGGACTGGGGACAGGTGGGTGGAGTACAGTTGGGGGAAACTTTGGTCAAAAAATACAACATTTCAGTTAGGAGGAATAAAAGTTCAAGAGATTTATAAGGTACAACATGATGACCACTGTTAATGACAATTTACTGTTGTTATTATATATAATTGAAATTTGTTAAAAGTAGATTTTAAGTTTTATCATCATAAATGCTAAGTATGTGAGGATATATTTTATATATATATATATATATATATATATATATATATATATATATATATATATATATAAATTAGCTTGATTTAGCCATTCCACAATATATACATATTTCAAATATCATGTACACCATTAAAAAAACTCATTTTTTTAGGCCTGGTGCGGTAGCTCATGCCTCTAATTCCAGCACTTTGGGAGGCCAAGGCGGGTGGATCATTTGAGATCAGGAGTTCGAGACCAGCCTGGCCAACATGGTGAAACCTTGTCTGTACTGAAAATACAAAGAGTAGCCGGGTGTGGTGCCACACACCTGTAATCCCAGCTACTTGGGAGGCTAAGGCAGGAGAATTGCTTGAACCTGGGAGGAGGAGGCTGCAGTGAACCGAGATTGTGCCACTGCACTCCAGCTTGAGCGACAGAGTGGAATATAGTGGCACAATCATAGTTTACTACCACCCTGTCCTCCTGGGCTCAAGCCATCCTCCTACCTCAGCCTCTCAAGTACCTGGGACCACAGGTGTGACACTCTGCCTGGCTACTTTTGCATTTTTTCATAGAGACAGTGTCTCATTATGTTGCCCGTGTTGGTCTCTAACTTCTGGCTCAAGTGATCGTCCCACCTCGGCCTCCCAAAGTGCTGGGATTACAGGCATGAGCCACTGCACCTAGCCAATAAGCAAATTTTAAAATAAAGGGCATAAACTGCCTGGGCACAGTGGCTCACACCTGTAATCCCAGCACTTTGGGAGGCCGAGGCGGGTGGATCACTTGAGGTCAGGAGTTTGAGACCAGCCTGGTCAACATGGTAAAACCCCATCTTTACTAAAAATACAAAAATTAGCTGGGCGTGATGGCAGGCGCTTGTAATCCCGGTTACTCGGGAGGCTGAGGCAGGAGAATCGCTTGAACCTGGGAGGCAGAGGTTGCAGTGAGCCAAGATCATGCCACTGCATTGGGCGACAGAGTAAGACTCTGTCTCAAAATAAATAAATAAATAAATAAATATATATGAAAATAGATATTGAAAAGTTACCCAGAATATAATATGAAAAAGATACTGAAATGAAAAGATAGAAAATATAAAGAAGCAAGTTATAAGAAAAGGAGAGTCAAACATGAATGTTTCATACATATATTTGGAGCTCTAAAAGAATAGGGAAAATCAGTGAGAGGCAATATTGGAATAATGACTGAGAAACTTTCAGAATATATGAATAATACGAATCTTAAGACTTGGAAAGTCAAATGAATCCCAGTAAAGATAAATAAAAAGAGATCCAAATTTACATATACCAGTGAAATTGCAGTACTCTAAAGACAGAGAGAAGATTCACCAGAGGGGGGAAAAAAGATAAATTACGCAAAGTAATAGTCAGACTAATAGCAGACTCACAAATAGTAACAATGGAAAATAGAACTCTGTGGAAAATTATCCTAAATATTCAGAAGGAAACAACGACCTAAAATTATATGCTAAGCTAAACCTTTATTCAATAAGATGAGTTGAGCTGGGCATAGTGGCTCATACTTATAATCTCAGCACTTTGAGAGGCTGAAGTGGGAGGATCACTTGAGACCAGGAGTTCCAAGACTAGCCTGGGCAACACAGCAAGACCCCATCTCTACAGAAAATTTAAAAATTAGCCAGGAGTGGTGGTGCACACCTGTAGTTCCAGCTACTCGGAAGGCTGAAGTGGGAAGATTCCTTGAGCCTGGGAATTTGAGGTTATAGTGAGCTATGATTATGCCACTGCACCCCAGCCTGGGCAACAGAGGGAGACCCAGTCTCTTAAAAGAGTGAAATAAAGATTTTCAGAACAGGCTGGGCATGGTGGCTCACGCCTATAATCCCAGCACTTTTGTAGGCCAAGGCGGTGGATCACCAGAGGTCAGGATTTTGAGACCAGCCTGGCCAACATGGTGAAACCCCGTCTCTACTAAAAATGTGAAAAATTAGCTGGATGTGGTGGCAGGTGCCTGTAATCCCAGCTACTTGGGAGATGTATATTGTACAACATGATGACCACTGTTAATGACAATTTACTGTTGTTATTATATATAATTGAAATTTGTTAAAAGTAGATTTTAAGTGTTATCATCATAAATGTTAAGTATGTGAGGTTATATATATATATATATATATATATATATATATATAAATTAGCTTGATTTAGCTATTCCACAATATATACATATTTGAAACATCATGTACACCATTAAAAAATTTTATTTTTTTTAAAGGCTGAGGCAGGAGAATCGCTTAAACCCAGGAGGCGGAGTTCACAGTAAGCCAAGATCGCGCCATTGCACTCTAGCCTGGGCAACAAGAGTGAAACTCCGTCTCAAAAAAAAAAAAAAAAGATTTTCAGAACAATAAAAAGCGAGAGCATTTACCTCAACAAAGTCTAACTTTAAAAAATTCTGGCCGGGCATGGTGGTTCATGCCTGTAATCCCAGGCATGGGTGTGGTGGTGCGTGCCTGTAATCCCAGCTACTTGGGAGGCTGAGGCAGGAGAATCGCTTGAACCCGAGAGGCAGAGGTTGCAGCGAGCTGAGACAGTACCATTGCACTCCAGCCTGGGCGACAAGAGCAAAACTCCATCTCAAAAAAAAAAAAAAAAAAATTCTGAGGGATATACTTCAGAAAGAAAGGATCAAAAAAGGAATTTTGGAGATGAACGAAGGAATGATGAGCAAAAAGATTGTTAAGCATGTATGTAAATCTCAATATACATTGACTGTAAATTCTATTTTTTTTAACAGCTGGAAGTTTTACAACTTTTTCTTCTGGTACTCATTTTCATTATATTTTCTCATAGAATTATATCCTGTTATATGCTCAGGCTGGTGTGCAGTGGCGCAATCATGGCTCACTGCACCGTCCACATCCCAGGCTCAAACCATCCTCGCACCTCAGTCTCCAGCTAACTTTTTATTTTTTGTAGAGACAGGGTCTTGCTATGTTGCCCTGGTTGGTCTTGAAATCCTGGGCTCCATCTGTCCTCACGCCTCAGCCTCCCAAAGTGTTGGGATTACAGGTGTGAGCCACCACCCCTAGCCTACTGATCATTCTTATTGGCATCAAAAATATGCACGTAAACTGACATTAATTTTAAAAATTGTTTTCTGTGACCACAGGGCTATTAGTGTTACATTTCTTCTGGATTTAATGATCATTACAATATTATTAGTCCACAATTGATTAAAACAACATGTATTATTTTAAATAATAATTATTAACATAAAAAGTAAAATTTATTGGAAAGACATCTCATTTTTGAAGTTTCAATTTTTTTTTTTTTGAATAGAGACAGGGTCTGTCTGTCTGTCACCCAGGCTGGAGTGCAGTCGTGTGATCATAGCTCACTGCAGCCTCAAACTCCCAGGCTCGCGTGATCCTCCCACCTCAGCCTCCTGAGTAGTTGGAACTATGAGTGCACACCACCACACTCAGCTAATTTATTTTAATTTTTTAAATTTTTGTAGAGATGGGGTCACCATCTTGCCCAGGATGGTCTTGAACTCCTAGGCTCAAGCAATCCTCCTGCCTTGGTCTCTCAAAGTGCTGGGGTTACAGGCATGAGCCACCATGCCTGGCCTCAAATATTTTTTAATTGACACATTGTAACTGCACATATTTACAGGGTACAATTTGATGTCTTGACACATATATGTTGTATAATGAGCAAATCAGTATTAGCATGCACTTATCATTCCTTTGTGGTAAGGACATGTAACAGTCGCTCTTCTAGCTATTTTATAATATACTGTATCTTACTATTAACCGTCATCACCCTACTGTGCAATATTAATACCCTAGAACTTATTCCTCCTAATTGTAATTTTGAGCCCATTGACCAAGCTCTTCTCATCCTCCCTACATTTTATTTTGAAGGGCAAAAAATATGATTATTACTGAACCGTTATATTTATGATAACTCTAGATTTTGTTGGCTTGGTTTCTCCTGTAGGTATACAGAAGATGGGTGTCCACATAAGAAATTCTTTCACACACGTTTTCTCATGCGAATGAGGTTAACACCAGATTGTTCCAAAATGTTGATTTCAACGTCCTCTGGATATCTCTTAATTTTGCATGACCTTGACTTAACTAAGTCTTTAGAAGTAGGCAGCTATCCCATTTTAAGAGCAAGAAGAACTACTTCAAGTTCAGGTAAGCTTTTCTTTTTTGGTCAAAAAGATTTTTCTCGAGAATCTCAAACATAGAGATGGTATAGGTTTCTTTTCTGAAAATGATAGCAGGAAAAGGGAAGACAGTTTTTTAAAAGGCATTCTTTAGAAAGCTCATTGATGGGTTTTTATCTAAGCAAGTATAATGATTTGTATGTATCTCTGACATATCATTCATATGTACCTCTGAATCACAAATGGACTAGGAGGAATAACTGCTGACCCTAAAGTATTTTCTTTTAGCTTTATGCTAGCCACAGGATCTTTTCATCAGTAATTTTGAATCATCACTATCTCAAAAATTAGTGATGGCACAAGGTCTTAAGTCCTTCTGGAATCAAGCAGAGCTTTTATTAAATTATGGTCAATATAGAGTTTTAGTTTTATCTGTATCCTAGACTTACAGATGTCCAGACACAGGTAGCTGGTGCCATCTTATCTCATTACTCTCTAAACGCTCTTTTGCTAAAACTCTGTCTCTTCTCCCATTGCTGATTTTGTTAGACTTAAGAGAATTTAGGGTTCAGAAAAATGTACGTATTGTATTTTATCAACATTATGTGATTTAAAAAAGACTATATTTCATCTACCTTTGGGAAAGAGGGGACTGGTGTGGGGACATACCCATCATTTACATTATAAACAAAAATCCAGGGGAAAAAAGACTTAAGCATTTGGAACATAGAATGCTAATAAATTGCTATTAAAAGGCAGCTTTGAATGGTTGGGGCCAGGTGCGGGGGCTCACACCTGTAATCCCATCACTTTGGGAGGCCAAGGTGGGAGGATCGCTTGAGCCCAGGAGTTGAACTCAAGGGTAGCCTGGGCAACATAGGAAGACCTCATCTCTACAAATAACTTAAAAATTTAGCCAGGTGCAGTGGCTCACGTTTGTAATCCTAGCACTTTGAGAGACTGAGGTGAGCAGATCGCTTGAGCCCAGGAGTTTGTGACCAGCCTGGGCAACATGGTGAAACCCTGTCTCTACGAAAAACACAAAAATTAGCCAGATATGCTAGCATGCATCTGTAGTCCCATCTACTCAGGAAGCTGGGGCAGGAGGATCACCTGAGCCTGGCAGGTTGAGGCAGCAGTGAGCCATGATTGTGCCCCACTGCCCTCCACCCTGGGCAACAGAGAAAGACCCTGTGTCCAAAAAAAAGGAAATGAAAAAAAAGGTTGGAATCTTTCTCCTTGTGCACAGGACCACTTCTGAAAATTCCTTTGGGAAAGTACAGACATCATTGTACTGCAGTGCCTGGCATAACTGTCAAAAGTAGAAATTTAAGTTTTACCAACTTACTTGCAAACAAGGGATTTCATAAATATACGAGTATAATCCTTTGAGATTCAAATTTGCCTTTTAAGTTAAACATGATAAGCAACTCTAACTTAGTGAGAAATAGTGATTTTGAATGTCTAGTTGGCCTATTTCAACTCAAAAACCAACAAGGTTTTCAGTTTTCTAATGGTAATTCTGATACTAAATAACATTACAGGAAATTAGACTAGTAAGAATTCTTAACATAGGTATGGGACCACTAGCAAAATGTGATGATGAAATAGACACTGCTATTTGGAGTAATATATCAGACTCCACTACCTGATACTCATTTTATTTTTTTCAATGTAAACTTTATGTCACATTTCACAGTATTCACATAAACTTGGCACAGTGGTGCATGCCTTTAGGCCCAGCTACTCAGGAGGCTGAGGCTGAGGCAGGAGGATCACTTGAACCCAGGAATTAGGAGTCCAGCCTGGGCAACATAGCAAGATCCTTGTCTCAAAAAAAAAGACTATTCACGTAATTTCAAGAATGATAATGGAAGTTTTTGGTATACTTTAAAGAAGAATCTCTTCATGTTTCTGGTAATGGGCCTGTTGTTTGGACCCTATTTTAACATAAAACAATAGGCTTAAGAGCTTAGTTTTCATTTTCATGGAATTTTTGGGTTCCATTTTAGTACAGAAATCATGAGGATCCAAAGACGCTCCTATGATTATTTGGTTTTTCATTTTTATTTCACATAGTCAAGTCTTTGATATAAAAGATTCAGAAAGGGACTAGATCTTAGAACACTTCAAAGAGCTGTCTTGCCTTCCTCAGTCTTATAGGCCAGTGATATATGAGCATTTTTTCAAAATTTTAAAACTATGGTTCGAGTAGATAATTAAAAAGTTAAGAGCCACTACCAGAGTTATGCTAGGTTTATTGTCAGAATTTTTTATATTTTTAAGATTTGACCACTTCATCAAGTTCATCTGGTCCTAGAGTTTCTGGCTCACCTTGTCATCATAGTGATTCTAATTCTTCTGAGAAACACATGTCACGAGCCTCTCAAAGAGAAGGTAGGTTAAAAGTTGGATTTTATAATCTTGTAACAACAGATTATGCCAATCTGATTAATTATTGATTGATTAAAACCAGTTTTATGGTTTTAATCCATAAAAATAAAAGCAATGGAGATGAGGTGATTTATCCCTCAGTCATCATCTTCAAAAAGCTAACCGAGAGTCCCTGGGGTTGAATATCTTGAGTTAAATCTTAATAGAACTTGAGCTTTGGTTTTATTAGCTGGACTTAGTTTGGTCTAGTTTGGAGAGGAAGTAGTTCAGAAATATAGATTTCAATCAAGATTGTTGTGAAAATTAAGTGAGATTATGCACGTGAAAGCTCTGTATAAATATAAGTCATGAATTTTCAGGTAATTGTGAAAGTCACCTGGTTACCCTCAGACTTTTTGCTCTGCCATTTCCTTGTCTGTGCAATGCCTGACAGCTTCCAAGGGTTTGTAGGATAAAGTGAGCTACCATCTGGCTCCTCTCTGTATTTCCCAGTTTTTTCCTAGCCATTCTGGCAGAACTAGTTGCTCTGCCCTATACCTTCCACCACACCCCCCCAGTTGAAATGGTTTCTGCCTATACAAATTCCACATACTGTTCCTCTTCATACTAACTGACGTCTAAGCTCTTATACCATTCATTGTTTATTCTTCTCTTTGTGAACTGAGTATTAAGAGCCAGAGATGGCTTGCTTTTTTTTTTGTCATTTTGGGTCACTTTTGGAGATAGACATTTCTCTACCTTGTTATTTTGGGCAGAGACTAAATCTTAGACTTCTAATTTGTGTTTTCACTGGGTGGCTTTGCCTAGTAGATGCTGGTTATCTTGCATGGCTACTTATGTCAGTAGAATGGTTTAAGAGCTCTTTCTAACCTATATGGCCTATCCACTTGCCTCTGGATATTGAAGTCTGTGATATTTCACTTTAAGGTTAAAGGCTCCTCCTCTTAAATTTAAAGATTTATGCCCAGAAGTATAACATTTTTCCTTTGATTTGTAACACAAACATCTTTTGCAGATTCTTCCTGTTCTCCTTCCACTTGTGCTATGGGAAACAAGTCAAGGCTTCTAATAATCATTGAGAAAAATCTTTATTGATTGACTACACCATCCACAAGAAAAAGAAACTTAATTTAAGAAGAATAGTTAACATGCTTGCTTGTTATTGACCAGTGGTAAACACACAAACACAAATATACAGCAGTTCTATGCCACAGAGAGTTAAGAATGAGGGAAGAGATGATATATGAGGAGGCTGGGAAGAAGAGGAAAATGAGAGGGTGAAAAGAGAGGGAAAACATGGGAGAAGGTGGGGCTTATAGGTGAAGTTGCTCTAAATGTTGGAAATCCTGGATCTTCAGATGTCAGAGTATGTTAACACTATCCTTTGGCAGATATAATAGCTGTATAGAGCAGAGGCTTTCAAATGCATTTCAGCATTAGAACTCTATTTTTGACATGAAATCTGCTGTGGATTCTTAGAGATGTAGCACAAATAAAATCAAAGTAGCTCTGGTTCAAGAAAAATTAGGGAGGCTCTTGACCCTCCAGCCTTCCCCACTCCATCTACACCTCAGCCCACACGTGGTTCCCCACTTTTGCCATCTCCTGAGGAACCCCAAAGGAGCACAGTTAGCAAACCACCTACTTAGAATGCATTTCTTGTCTGGTTTTGTTATAGGTTTTCCAAATTAATTCTTAAAATAAGAGTATATTTTTCTCTAAAATTGTTAAAGTTCAATCATATGTGAAATAGTTATTTCAGTATAGTTTTGTTATAGCAGTGTAATTTAGAGCTTCACAGGTTTCTGTTAATGATGTAGTAATCTGAAGGGAATCTTTAGAAAGAAGGTAACACATCTGCTTGACAAGCAATTCACAAAGGATCTGACAGAGGGAGCTCAATACCTTCAAAATAACTCCTTCCACAGTCAGAGAAGTGTTGAAATATTTCTCTTGCTATTAAATTTCTAAGTTGCTTCCTTACAGTGTCTATGAAAGTGGTTTTTCACGCACCTGAAGGATATAACATATTCCTATTATTAACAGTGCCTTACTCCAGCAGTCATTTTCATTGGGAGTTAGGTAGAAGGAAATGATGAGGCATAGTAGAGTCTATGATTGGCAATGTCTCCCATCCCTTGTTTTGACATGCCTTTATGTGAGGTGTCCTTTCTTACCTCCAACATTTTATTTTTTGTTTATAGTGTTGTTATTGCAGGTGCTTAAGTCCTGATCTTTTTATTTGCTTAAAAGGCAATCCTCATGGCTTCCAAGTATTTCCTTCTCTGGACCAGAAAGCACCAGGACCAATGAGAGGAGAATTGTTACCTTTTACCTTTCTAGAGTCCTTTCATGTCACATAACTTTGGTTCTTACTTAAATAAAGAGCTTTCTGAGATGTAAGATCCAAATAAAAGAACCCCTAGTCAGCTTCTATGCCTTAGCCTTAGGTCAGTGACAATTACTGCTGTGGGAACTTGGATCTTTTGTTCTATTTATACCCTTTCCCCACACCTTCACCCCGCCAAAACTCACACACCATACATTGGGGAGTACCACGCTCTTTAACATATGGTAGCATAAGGGGCAGACTAAGGAATGACGGCATGGGAGGTGGCTGCCAGAAATAAAAAGCTTTGATGAACTGCCTTAGTTTTTTGATAATACAAATCCCACATCCTCATTTTCTTATATCTCAGGAGTTTCACCACGAAATAGTCTTGAAGTCGTAACCCCTGAAGTTCTTGGTGAGAGTGACCACGGAAACTGCATCACGTCCTTACAGCTGCACCCAAAAGGCTGGGCCACTCTTCTTCGGTGCTCAAGCAACAGTGATGATGAGGAGGTACAGGCAGCAGCACTCCACCTTCAACAGGGCTCATTGGACAAATTGCCATTGCCGTGTGTGCAGAGCTTAGGCCGATCGCTGACTGCAGTCTCTGCCTTCAAGGGCATACTGCTAGAGATCCTGCTTCTCGACTCTCCTGTTTCTGTCCTCTCTTGCTTCATATGGTATCATTATCCCTTCCAAACTCTTCTTATTCCTCTCCTGCTGGGGTTGAGCAAGGTGGGAGGTACTTTAAAGGCCAGCATCAGCTCAGTTTTTGCCCAGCTTCTTAAATCTTGCCTCTTTCATCTCACCCTAAACAAACAAACAAACAAACAAACAAAAACCCCTTGTATAATAAACATAGGTCTGAAATGTTTCAGCTAAGCTGGCTAAATGTGAGATTTTACTAAGCCAATTGAGTATCATAATTTTCTTTTTTTAAAAACCAGGGGAAACTCTGGGAAAGGAAGGGACTATACTGATGACTAGGGGGAAAGGTGTTAAATGACTTTATGATTCTCATCACTCTGGAAAGCAAGAGTCTTCCAAGGATCTCACTGGTCCTAGAGGCCACAACTGAAAGGAGAGAAGAGAAGAGCCTTTGAATTGTGTAGGGGAAGAGGTAAGATACTCTAGGGCTTGGATGTACTCCAGGAATTTTTAAAATATCAACATTGTTGTTGCCCTTAGAAAAGAGAATGTATTACTGCAAAAGTCACAGGCAGCCTCAGGGAACAAAAGGCTTTAAAGCATCATAACACAGAATAACCTCAGCTTATGAAGATAAGAAAGTAGGGGGCCTACAAGTTTTGTTAGTTGGGAGGGGGATAGCATTATTCTGAGTGATTTCTTGTAAAAATTCTGTGGCTTTGGCAATCTGTTGAGCTTTTTAAAAATAAGGAATATCTGTAGCACTATTTGGGCTCTGTAACCTTGGTTTGTCTCCCTTCTCTCCCCCTAGTGTACTTGTGTCTATGAATTCCAAGAAGGAGCTCCAGTGCGACCTGTCTCACCTCGCTGTTCTCTACGACTGACTCATTACATTGAAGAAGCCAATGTAGGCAGGGGTTACATCAAAGAACTTTGCTTCAGCCCCGATGGACGAATGATTTCTTCCCCACATGGCTATGGGATTCGCTTGTTGGGATTTGACAAACAGTGCAGTGAACTTGTTGACTGCTTGCCCAAAGAAGCCAGTCCCCTGCGGGTGATCCGTTCTCTGTACTCTCATAATGATGTGGTACTGACAACAAAGTTCTCTCCAACACATTGTCAGATTGCCTCAGGGTGCCTTAGTGGACGGGTTTCTTTGTATCAGCCAAAGTTTTAGGCACAACTTACATCAAATAAGGAACTCTTCTGGTGTTTGACTTAGGAATTGCTTCAATTTAGATGAAGTATTTTCTTTTTAGAAGATCTTATAAGTTTGGGTCAAGATCCTGGTTCTTATGGGTCCATGAACACACTTGTGACCTTAGTACTTGGTCATCCAGCATCATACAGGCATCTCCAAGTTAGACTCTATGCAGCATCATCTTTTGCAGCATTCCTCTGCTCCTGCTGATCTGTGCCACTGAACTCCAGTTCTTCTGGTCATTTTGCATGGTAGCTCTTGTCACGTTCCTTCCTTCCTCACTCTCTATTTCTCTTTCCCTCTCCCTGTCCCTCTCTTTCTTTGTGTTTGTTGATTTTGGTGTCAATTTTGTGGACATTTGGCAGGAGTTTTGACTGGGGTAGGAGAAACCCATGACATTAGAATTGAATAAAACCTAGAAGTTGGATATTGGCATATTGGTTGTTGAAAAATAAATTTCATCCTCACTTATGAGTATACTTGGCCTTTTAAAGTTACTGTTATGTTTATCTATATTGAGCACAGATAATGGCATTATTCTTATAATTGTTAAGATAGTCTTGCAACAAAATGTCTTTTAAGTTTCCTGTTAAAATTATAAAAAGATTTTCATGGTGAGAGGGATTTTATTGTGAAATTCTAGAAAAAAATATTACCACCTCTCTTTGTAATTTACTTTACTTGTATGAATTTAACATCTCTAGCATGTATCCTTACTTGATATTTTGTTCCTATCAACAGCATTAGAAAGGAAAGGAGACAGAATGAGCTTTGGTTATTTCTATTGCACAGAAAAGGATTTTTAAAATTAGATTAGTATAATATCTGGCCATAGAGTGATAAGAACAATATGACTTAGATTTTCTGTATTTCATCTGCCAGATTATTTGAATCACACAGGATGATGTGTTAACAGTATTAGGGTGGAAGAGGAATCAAGAGTAAAGAGGTAGGGGTTTACTCATTTTTCTTCCCTGAGCCAGGTGTGACAAGCCAACTCTGTCACCATTCGTGAGGGGAGAGTTGCAGTCCTCTTCAAGCTGTTATCATAAGTACAGTAGTCAGCTACTTGGATATCAAGACTAAGTGCTGATATGAAGACTTGCCTTTGTGTTTTGTTATGAAACACGCAAGCATAAAGCAGGACTCAAGCACAAGGCTGACTGTTCTACTTTGAATAACAGCTTCCTTGCAGTCTCCTCCACATGGGTGGTACTGTGTTTAGAAGGGATTACCAAAGGCTGGAGCGATTTAAGCTATGCACTAGCCTTGCCCTCTTAGGTTGCATTCTCTTTAGGCCACTGGTTCTCAAACATTAGGGTGCACTGTAACCATTACAGAGCTTGTGAAAAGTGCAGAAACCTGAGCCTCACCTTATGAGATTCTGATTCAGCCAGGGGGAGGACAGGAATCTGTATTTTTCATAGCAACCTCAAGTAATCTTTATTCTGAGGGTCTCGGGATTGCAGGTTGAAAAACACAACCTTAATCAGCAGTAAATTCTTCTCTACTCGGCCAGGCGCAGTGGCTCATGCCTGTAATCCCAGCACTTTGGGAGGCCGAGGTGGGTGGATCACAAGGTCAGGAGTTCGAGACCAGCCTGACCAACATGGTGAAACGCCATCTCTACTAAAAATACAAAAATTAGCCGGGCGTGGTGGTGCTCACCTGTAATCCCAGCTACCCAGGAGGCTGAGGCAAGAGAATCACTTGAACCCGGGAGGCAGAGGGTGCAGTAAGCCGAGATTGCACCACTGCACTCCAGCCTAGGCGACAGAGCGAGACTCTGTCTCAAAAAAAAAAAAAAAAAAAAAAAATTCTTCTCTACCCATTTGGGCTTAAGACAATTCCCAGAAAGTGTTTTCATTATTTAAAAAATAATAATAGTAAATGAAAGCAATTTTAGAGGTGGAAAATACCTTAGAATGGAATCATTTGCATTATTTGACAAATGAGAGAAGTGACATGACTTGCCTAAGGTCATCCTGCAAAGTTAGTGGCAGAGTTAGGACTTGAATTCCAGTCTTCTAATTCCTTGGTCAGGGCAATTTCTACTGTGTTATGCTGTCTGTTAGAAATAATGACTTATGGACACTTTGTCTTTAAGTTGTATTATTGTAAATACCCTTAAACTGGCCAATAGATTTTAGAAAGGCAGGCATGGGAGTAGATGCTGAGAATTCTAGCCATAAGAAGAAAAGTATTTTAAATCTTACAGAAATGTTTAAACAACCCAAAATACATGAATAAAAATGACATTTCTTTGTAGGACCTGCCAACTAACTATTCACACACATTTATAGAGGTTATAAGGATCTTGGCTCTAGAACAAATTTTTGAAATTAGATCATTTTACCATGGATGTTAACAAAATTGGAAATTTTTTGTCACTGAGAAAATTATCACAAAGCACAGTAAATACATATACTTACCATACATTTTGTAAAAAACACATTTTTTAAAGAAAATAGGGATGGGTATGGTGGCTCACGTCTGTAATCCCAGCACTTTGGGAGGCCAAGGTGGGAGGTTCACTTGAGCCCAGGAGTTCCAGACCAGTCTGGGCAACATGGCGAAACCCCATCTCTACCAAAAATACAAAAATTAGATGGGCATGTTGGTACACGCCTGTAGTCCTAGCTACTCAGGAGGCTGAGGTGGGAGGATGGTTTGAGCCTGGGAGGCAGAGGCTGCAGTGAGCCAAGATTGCACTATTGCACTCCACCCTGGGCAATAGAGCCAGATCCTGTCTCAAAAAATAAAAATAGACTGGGCATGGTGGCTCATGCCTGTAATCCCAGCACTTTGGGAGGCTGAGGTGGGTGGATCACTTGAGGTCAGGAGTTTGAGAACAGCCTAGCCAACATGGTGAAACCCTGTCTCTACCAAAAATACAAAAATCATAGCCAAGCGTGGTGGCAGGTGCCTGTAATCCCAGCTACTCAGGAGGCTGAGGCAGGAGACTCGCATGAACCTGGGAGGCAGAGGTTGCAGTGAGCCGAGATCGCACCACTGTACTCTAGCCTGACCAGCAGAGCGAGACTCTGCCTCAAAAAAAAAAAAAAAAATAAAATAAAATAAAATTAGTTTTGGAGGTGAAAACACCCAAACTGTTATTATTTAAAAATACCTACCAAGTACTGTGGTCATATTGACATTCAAAAGAAGTTTCATAAATCGTATCAACTCTGGAAAGAGTTCATGTCAGATGCTAGACCAGCAAGTTACCCAACTCAAAATTCAGCCAATGATTCTTTACTATAGAGTACCTATCATGTGTCAAATAATATACAGACTTCACTACTAACCCTCACAAAAACTTGCAGGGTAGGTGGAATGAGCCCCAATTTAATTTGGAGGTAATAGTGGGTCAGAAAGATTAAATGACTTGCCTTAAGTCATAGAGTTAGCAGTGAGTGGCAGCACTGGGATTCAAACCCAGGTTTGTGTCTTGTCCAAAGCCTGTGCTTACTGCTTTACCATTGTGCTCTTTAGTTTGTAAAGTATGGTAAGCTGGCCTGTTATTTGTTTAGTATCTTCTGGATTTTTTTTTTTTAATTATAGAGCTAGCTTACCGTGTGTATCATGTAAAAAAAATTCATAAGATTAACAATTTCCATGAGAATATCATAAACTCAGGGCACACATTCTGGCCATTCCTGACTAAAAAACTTCAAGCAGAATAAGCAGCTATAAAATAGAAAAGAAAAATTAAGGATAAACGGCATTGTGAAAAAAAACCGAGCCACACAGATGAGAATTAAAAATTAACAGCCAGCAAACTCAAAAGAACCTTTGTCCTCCTTGAGATATGGTGATGATCAAAAAGTTAGCAAGGAATATTAATCAAGGAATTAAAGGGCATTAGGAATGCTATAGTATTGGAAGAAATTACATCTTAACATTTCAAAGCCCCATTTCACTTAAGAGTAAAATCTAATCTGATGTTTTTTACTCTGAATTTTATTCAGTAATTTTTATTCATAATTCATGATAATTGGTAATGTAGTATAATTGTTAGTAAATGCAGTACAAATTGTTCTACTGTTTTAAAAAGTTTTCCGCAGAACAGTGCATTTATGGCAATGCTATGTTTAATGAGTTAGGGACATCAAATATATAGTAGTTCCTTATTTTCAGTTGTGAAAATGAAATGGCTAAAGCAGAAGAGACGTCTATTTTAGTCTTTTAAAAATGTGTGTGGGTGGTCTTTTTTCCTCAGAAGCCCAAAGCACATGTATATTTTGTTATTTCTCCTTGCTATATTCCTGAGACTATACTAAAAACTTTAAGAAAAGGAACAAGAAAAAGGTAAATTCATGTGTTCCCCACTGCTGTGTCTAGAACCAAGATCACATTATATCATTGTTAAAATTGTGTTATCTAGAAAGTGCAATATAGGGAAAACACTCTAAGAATCTTTTAAAAGCCTAGTGTTTCCCTTATTTGTCAGAATATGTGGTAGTGGCATCCATAAGTATCTTTTAACTTGCATTTAGCAGGACAAATAGTGTGATACTTATACTGATGACAATCATCCCCATTTAATGACCAGCAGTCACTGAGCGCTGTGAAAATTCACTCAGTGATACCCCGTGTTGGTCTTGAAGGAAACCGTACATATGAATTTTTGGATAGCTAATGTATATCTCTCAAGTGCCAACATTTAAAACTTGTAATTATTTTTGATGTGAGTATTTCAGGTATGTTAGTATACCTTCCTGCCTTCTTCTTAAACATCATGCTCAGTATAATTCACATTTTCATGATGAAAAGTTAAAGTTATATTCATAATGTATTATTATAAGTATCCAGCTCTGATGTATGTAAAACACTTCATAAAATGTAAAGGGCTATAACAAATATGTTATAAAGTGATTCTCTCAGCCCTGAGGTATACAGAATCATTTGCCTCAGACTGCTGTTGGATTTTAAAATTTTTAAAATATCTGCTAAGTAATTTGCTATGTCTTCTCCCACACTATCAATATGCCTGCTTCTAACAGGCTCCCCACTTTCTTCTAATGTGCTGTTATGAGCTTTGGACATGAGATAACCGTGCCTGTTCAGAGTGTCTACAGTAAGAGCTGGACAAACTCTGGGGGGACACAGTCTTTGAGACAGCTCTTTTGGTTGCTTTCCACTTTTCTGAAAGGTTCACAGTAACCTTCTAGATAATAGAAACTCCCAGTTAAAGCCTAGGCTAGCAATTTTTTTTAGTTGCAACTAAGTAAGATATACTACAAACTAAGGATGCTGCTAGACTAAGGAATAAACAGCAAGGTACCAAAGTACAGCAAAGCAACAACAAAGGCTCTGTATTTGCAGAGGGGTCTATCATGCTTTTAAGAAAAAAGAAGAGTACAGGAAAAAAATTCAGATAGACATAAGAGTATTTTGGATGCCATTAAACTTTGTCAATAACCATTAAAACATAGGCTTAAATTATCACGTATTGTTACAAAGACACAGTTTTGTCTCATTATAAAATAAGATTATATGAAATTTATATTCTAGAAATGATTCCAAATCATGTCCTAAGAATTTCTCCCATTCAAATGATAATGGAAATTACTGTCAAAAGGAAAATCTCAAAGTTACCATTACGCTGCTCTCTTGTAAATGAACTAGGGATAAAGATATGGGTTTTATCAAAAGCCCTAAGGAATATATCTCACATTCACCTCCTATATGTATGTGTATATATAAATGCCACTATAAATGAAAATGTCACCCAGAGATAATAAAATAATTTTTAAAGTTTAAATCTGGTCCAAAGTCTTTAAAATAGGTAGATTTTCAGCTTTCTTAAGTTTCTCCCTCATTTAGATTTCATGGTTTTTACATAAAGGGTGAATATTTGAATTTTCTTTTAAATTTCACTGCATCTTCAATTGCCCAACTGTGTTTCCTGATAAATTTTAGATTCACATTTTTAGGAAATTTGGAGTATTCCAGACAATATACTAGATACCCAGAAACTTTTCTCAGTAGGTTCTGAGGTGTTTTAAGTTCTTATGCTAGACTGTAAGCTCCTTGAGGGCAGAGACTGTTTTATTTATTCTTGTATCCTCAGTGCCTGGTACAGGACTTGACACAGAGTAGTTGTTCAATAAATATTTGTTGAATGAATCAAATGAACCTTCACCATATATGGCCTGAAGCTCTCATGAAGCCAGCAGAATGCAGTGTGCAGATTATTCCGTAATAGAGGAATCCATCATTTATTATTATAATTAACAGACTATATTCATCAGGGTAAGATCTGTTCTGACCATAAGCAAGCAAACATTTCTCATTGACTTGGAAAACTGCAAGTTAAGACTCAGTTTTTCATTCAACGAACATTTGAATCCCTATTATATGCCTAGTTTAGTACTGGGAACTCAAGGGACAAAGATAACTATCGTCTTGGTATTCCATAGCTGTAGTTGAAAGAGATTTAGATTCAGGGCTGGCTTAAAGAGGTTGTACATGTGCAGTTACATAGTGTCCCATACTTAGAAAGATTCCATGTAGGCTGGGTGCAGTAGCTCACACCTGTAATCCCAGCACTTTGGGAAGCCGAGGCAGGAGGATCGCTTGAGCCCGGGAGTTTGAGACCAGCCTGGGGAACATAATGAGACCCCATTTCTACAAAAAATGAAAACACAATTAGCCAGGCATGGCGGCATACACCTATAGTCCCAGCTACTCGGGAAACTGAGGTGGGAGGATCACCTGAGCCCAAGAAGTTGAGACTGCAGTAAGCTGAGAGCACACCACTGCACTCCAGCCTGGGCAACAGAGTGAGATTGCCTCAAAAAAATAAAAAAAATAAAAAAAAAGTTGAAAGGCCTCATGCTTACTTTAATGCTTTGCTATAGCCATCTTGAAATTCTCAACTTTTTGAACAAGGGCACTGCATTTTTATTTTGTACTGGGCTTGCAAATTATGTAGCTGGTCCTACTTAGATGTAATCATTTTGACATGATGGGTACAAAGTAATAAAAGAGTTACAGTATCTTTCACTTACCTTCTAATAAAGATATTCACATTCATTGAGAATTAGCTATAAAATGTATAATTTAGTAAAATAACTTCTGAAATTAAAACCACCTCCTTCCCACAAATTTTTGGACAGATCAAATGTTCTTCATTTCAGAATTACAAAAGCTTTCTAAAACTATAATTGGCTTTTTACCTTTTTAATTGTTTTGAGTCTTTCAAATGGATGAATGTAGAGTTGTAGATGAGTTTATTTTATCTATATACACACCTACATAAACATATAAGGTTTTAATTTAAAAAAACCTTTATATTATAAATGCATTGAATATGTGATATAAGTCTACCTCATAACATGATTTTTTAAAAATAAATGCTACTTTGAAACATTTGACACACTTTTTGTGTGTGGTTAACCTGTTTAAAAGGTTGATGGCAAACTTGATTTAGTAATTGCTGGAGATTTTTTGTTTAAACTACCTATATGTGCATTTTTAGACCAAAATCAAGCACAAGGCTATGACAATGGCAGTGGCTTGGTAATTCTTGTTAGTGACATTCTGGACTTTTTCAATCATGCACTCTCCATCAGAAAAAATTTAAGATCCAAATTTTGATTATCTATAAATGATGGGTATACTATTGTACTGATCTGTTAAGTACATTATAAAACATACACAGAGGAAAATCGAAAGTTTAAAAGGATACGATTTTTAAAAATTAAAGTTCTAAATTTCTTCCTGTACCTCCAGGGATAAACTGGGTCTCAGCTGGTATATGGACATTTCATCTTAGGAAGGCCACTATCTAAAATGTAGAATTGGCATTTTACACTAAAAACACATTTACTAAGATTGCATTCTTTCACATATGTTCACTAATGTTCTAGCCATTTGCAAGTTTATTTGGTATGAATATGTTTGTAGAGTTTCTAAAATTAGTTCTTTATTCAGTGAAAATTGTATTATCAACAGGAAGCATCATTCATAGATTTTTACCCTTTTTGTCAAGCTGTTTACAGTGACTGAATCTTATATAAGAACTCAGAACATGATATTTTTCAGTGTTCTCTAGAATTTCATTTTCTTGTTGTATTATTTAACAGTGTGATTGATGGTTCATTTTACCAGATTATTTTCATTCACCAGAGTATGATAATCATATTTGGGACACTCTTTTTGGTAAATCATTGGAGATTAAAAAAAGAGTGAATCCCTTTGAATTCAAATTATTTTGTGAAATTAATCATTCAGACAAACTGATTTAACTAACCATAGCACTAATTATCACTATTTCGTTATCTCTATGACTGACATATTTTGGGCTATTTAAAAATATATTTTTAATTGAAAGGGAAATAATTATTTGCCATGCGTTAATAATAAGGAATCAACAATGTATATTTGTTTTCTATTGCAGCTGTAACAAATTACCATAAACTCAGTTATTTAAAACAACAAAAATTTATGTTCCAGTTCTGGAGGTCAGAAATGGATCTCACTGGGCTAAAATCAAGGTGTTGGTGGGGCTGTGTTTCCTCTGGGAGCCTAAGGGGACAATTCATTTCCTTGCCTTTTCCAGCATCTAGAGGCCACCTGCATTCCTTGGTTCATTGCCCCTTCTTCCTTCAAAACCAGCAGAAAAGCATATTCTTTTTTTTTTAAAAAGTACTTAATTTTTTTATTTTTGAAGAGGCAGGGTCTCACTATGTTGCCCAGGCTGGGCACAAACTCTCCTGGGCTCAAGTGATCCTCCTGCCTCAGCCTCCCAAAGTGCTGGGATTACAAGTGTACGCCACCGTGCTTACATTGACTTTCGTGATTACATTGGGCCAACTGCATAATGCAGGATAATCTCTCCATTTTAAGGCCAGCTGATTAGCAAACTTAATTCCATTTACAACCTTAATTAGCCCTTGCCCTGTAACATTACATACAAGTTCTGGGTATTAAGGATGTGGACATCTTTAGGGGCTACTGTTCTGTTTGCTTACTGTGTGCTAGTGTTGGGTACTAGCCTTAGCGCTTCACAGGCACTATTTAATCCTTAAGGCATTCTTATGAAGTGGGTACAGTTATTCCCATTTTACAGAGGAAGAAACTGAGGCTTAGATTCGTTTACCTAAAGTCATATACCTAGTGAGTTTCAGAGTTAGACTTCTACCTGGTTCTGTCTGACTTCATAGCCTAACTTCAGTTGCTATACAGCTTTGATAATTCAGTGAGAAAATGTTTACTGCTTACAAACTATGTAGAACATTGTGAATACAGGTGTCATACTGTAAGAGAAATGTATTGCAGCTTTATTCTGTAATCAGGTAAAATTATTCTGATATCATTGTGAAAAAGTTGAAAAGCTTCCGCTTATGTGTATAGGGCCAGTAACATTTTCAGAGTTGTCTTGTAACACATAAGTGCTTTTATTCCCTAGACCTTTATCTACTAGGGCTTAGCTGTTTTAGTTTATAGCTGTCATATACTACTTTTAAAACAAATAATGCTGGACGCAGTGGCTCATGCCTGTAATCCTAGCACTTTAGGAGGCCAAGGCGGGCAGACTGCTTGGGCCCAGGAGTTTGAGAACAGCCTGGGCAACGTGGTAAAACCCCATCTCTACAAAAAATACAAAAAAAGCTGGGCATGGTGGCACGAGCCTGTAGTTCCAGCTATTGGGGAAGGTGGGGGGAGGGGCAGGCAGTGAGGTGGGCGGGTCACCTGAGCCCAGGAGGTCGAGGCAGCCTTGATCATGCCACCAGCCTGGGTGACAGAGTGAGACGCTGTCTCAAAAATAAATAAATAAATAAAAACTAATAACTATTTAGGATATCAACTTGAAACAGGTATTTAAATCACGACACATGTACATTTATAGAACATTATGTACAGTTGGTTGCTGCATCTCAAAAACTACATTATCAGGCTGAAAAAAAAACCACAATATTATTAAAAGGCAAAGATAAGCAAGCTTACAACTTTTTAAGGTTTATTGCTTCCAGAGCCATATTCTTAGAGTTTTTCTCTTGATCTGTGTGGCTTCAACCACATATATTTTTTCCACAATAATGGGATAATTATAGGATTGCCTGGTTCCTGATGGGGTAAAGGTGGATGTATTAACAGAGACGTTATCAGTCATCAGTGGTTATCTGGTGTCTATGCATCATCTCTATTTGGCAGTGTGTCCCAGTGAGTATACTAGGCAGAAATAGACTGCCATTTTAGGCCTTAGAATCAGGTTCTTATCCCTGACTCCCCCACCCTTACAGGAGAGTACTCAAGACCATGGGCAAGTACTCTTGGGAGCTTTATCATTGTCTGCTCACCAAGTATTAGAAGCATCTGCTGTAATACCGCATTAATTAGCTCTGACTTTGTCCTAGTCAGGGAGTGTCATTCTCATTCTTTGGAGAGACTTCATGCTATCCCCTACCTCATGGCATTACATCCCCTCTTGGGAAAGTCCAATTTTTGTATAACAACCACTGGGCCTGTCCCTGAGTTTTCCTCCAGGCTCCTCCCTTTTGGCAAAGGACAAAAAAAAGTGGTGCTCAAACTTTACTGTGCATTAGAATCACCTGGAAAATGTGTTAAAATAGATTGCTGGGTCCCCATCCAGAGTTTCTGATTCTGTAGGTCTGGAGTGGGAGCCCTAGTTTTGCATTTCTAATCAGTCCTCCACTGATGCTGTAGGTCTTAGGGACCACAGTTTGAGAACCACGGATATAGAAAATGCAGTTAAGATTTAGATCTTCCATGGATGACAGATGCCATGGATCTCTGTGTAGATAACAGAAGTCCATTTAGAGAACCTCCTACCTTTTTGAGGCCAATATAGAAGAACAATGTGTCCCTTCAGCTACATCATTTTCAGTACATTATCAGGTTTGCACTTCTTGAACTAGAGCTAAGAGTTCCCTGATTAAAACATGATATTGGCCGGGTGCAGTGGCTCATGCCTGTAATCGTAGTACTTTGAGAGGCCAAGGCAGGCAATCACCTGAGGTCAGGAGTTCAAGACCAGCCTGGCCAACATGGTGAAACCCCGTCTCTGCTAAAAGTACAAAAATTAGCCAGGTGTAGTGGCGCAGGCCTGTAATCCCAGCTACTTGGGAGGCTGGGGCAGGAGAATTGTTTGAACATGGGGGGTGGAAGTTGCAGTGGGCCGAGATCGTGGCATTGCACTCCAGCCTGGGCAACAAGAGCGAAACTCTGTCTCAAAAAACAAAACAATAAAACAAAAACATGATATTTACATTACTGGGCAGTTAAGTAAGCTAAGATGATCTTACCTTCTCAGGAACAGACCTGGTGCTGTGTAGCTTATCTTTTAACTCAAAATGAGAGAGCAGCTACAGAAATATACACTCCCTGGTATAAGCTGTAAATAGCTGCAACTGTTGCTAACAATAGCAATAAATCCAGAAAAGGAACAACTGAAACTTTAACCAGAGCATACACAACTCAAAATACTTTTTAGCCTTAAAAAGTGTTTTAAAAAAAGTTATTTCCAGGGAGCCGGGTGAGGTAGCTCACGCCTATAATCCCAGGACTTTGGGAGGCTGAGGCAGGCAGATCACCTGAGGTCAGGAGTTCGAGACCAGCCTGGCCAACATGGCAAAACCCTGTCTCTACTAAAGATACAAAAAACTAGCTGGGCGTGGTAGTACATGCCTGTAGTCCCAGCTACTCAGGAGGCTGAGGCAGGAGAATCACTTGAACCTGGGAGGTAGAGGTTGCAGTGAGCCGAGACTGCACCACTGCAAGCCAGACCCTGTCTCAAAAAAAACAGTTGTCTCCTTGCAAGTTGTTTAAATTATGAGTACTTTAGAATGCTTTGTTGACATTACTTGTTAAAGTTCTTCTCTATAAAAGGTTAGTTTTTGTTGGGGTAAAATGAAGGATCCAAATTTAATTGTGAAATGGTTACTTTTTAAAAGTTAAAATACAGAGCATCAGATTTGTTCTAAACACATTGCATTTATTCTTAAATAGTTTTTTTCTTGCATACTTAATAAATGTATGTAATTAAAAGAAAGATTTCCTGGCGTTTATTTAAAGTTGCAGTGTATTGCAGGAAAATCATAATTTTCCTAGTAGCCTGGTCCCTGCTAGTCAGGAGGTGGGTAGACCCCTTATTGCTGGGCAGTCTTAGGAAAGAATGCTTTTTCGTTGTTGTTGTTTGTTTGTTTTGAGACGGAGTCTCGCTCTGTCGCCCAGGCTGGAGAGTAGTGGTGTGATCTTGGCTCACTGCAAGCTCTGCCTCCCAGGTTCAAGCCATTCTCCTGCCTCAGCCTCCAAAGTAGCTGGGACTACAGGCACCTGCCACCACGCCCGGCTAATTTTTTTCTATTTTTAGTAGAGACGGGGTTTCACCGTATTAGCCAGGATGGTCTTGATCTCCTGACCTCGTGATCCATCCGCCTCGGCCTCCCAAAGTGCTGGGATTACAGGCGTGAGCCACTGCGCCCAGCAGGAAAGAATGTTTGAAAGATTGGCCTCTGTTTTAGCCACCAGCCCTGTCACATTCAGGAGGGGATAGTCCAGACCTCAGTGGGAGGGAACTGCCATATTATCATCATTAGTGGGGAAGACAAGTAAATTTCTAGGCCACAGGCTTGTGTTCCCTTCTAGCAAGTATTTCAGTGGTATCTTATAACTTCATAGCAATCTAAGAATAGCATACTAAAAGAGCTAAACTGAGTTTCTCAATTATTCAGCAATAATGATAAACCCCCTAATGGTTTTTCCCAACATTTTATTATGAAAATGTCCAAACAGCAAAGTTAAAAGAACTTTACAGTGAACACTGTTTACCAAGGTTTTACCATTAATATTTTACTTGTTTTATCCCTTAACTAACTCTGTCCATCAGTCCATCTTGTTTTATTTATTTTTTTGAGACGGAGTCTCTCTGCGTCGCCCAGGCTGGAGTGCAGTGGTGCAATCTCGGCTTACTGCAACCTCCGTCTCCCAGGTTCAAGTGATTCTCCTGATTCAGCCTCCCAAGTAGCTGGGGTTACAGGCACCCACCATCACGCCTGGCTAATTTTTGTATTTTTAGTAGAGATGGGGTTTCACCATGTTGGCCAGGCTGGTCTTGAACTCCTGACCTCAGGTGATCCACCTGTCTCAGCCTCCCCAAGTGCTGGGATTTACAGGTGTGAGCCACTGCACCCAGCCTAATCCATCTTAATTTTTGATGCATTTTAAATTGCTGACATCTGTACCCATCCTTCTAAAAGTCCTCACATGACTAGAGTTTAACATTTGTTTTTTTCTTTTGTTGTAAAATTTACATAGAATGAAGTACACAGATTAACTCTACATTACTTAAATTTATATAAATGTATACACCTGTGTAACCCAAACATCTGTCAACATATAGAGTACTACCACCATCCCAGCAAGTTCTCTCCTGCCTCTTCCAGGTGAACCTCTGCCCCCATCCTCCCAGAGGGAAACACTGTTTGTTTGTTTGTTTGTTTCTGCTACAGATTTTCCTCTTCTAGAACTTCACGTAAGTGAAATTATCCATTATGTATTCCTCTTGATGATTTCTAAAAGAAATTCTTAAGAAATTAAAAGGGTTTCCGAAACAAGGAGAATAATTGATAAAGAAAATATCAGAGATCAGATTGATTACTTCATTAAATGTATTTATTATGAGAACCTCTAATCTGTGGATATAGAAATCTGAAAGACAGACCCTGCCCTCGAGGAGATCACATTGTCCTGGCAGATAAAGTACAAACATGCAGTTAGAGACAGGCAAGAAACAGTTATCACTTGGCACAGAAGGGGCCTAATCCAGCCTGGGAGGCGATGGAGAAATCAAGAGACATTTACATTTTCACTTTGGAACTTGTCTCGGGCAGCCAGTGCTCTTTATTTTCCATAAAAGTCTAGAACCTCTTAACTCAAAATGATTTGTCCTGAAATGGCAGTTTTACAACACTGAGTAGGTGTAACACAAACTCGCTAAATAAAATAAATGAGGAAAAACTGTAAAAGGCACAAACTGAAATTATTGGGGATTCTGTTTTCCTCTAGTTCGAGTTGAAATAGACTCAAATAGATGTGTTATTGCTCCCAAACACAAATAACATGCATTCCTGTTCTTGGATCACAAGTGGCAGAAGCTTTCAAGAGCTCTAGATAGCAACAGCAAAACTTTAATCTTCTTGGACTTCCCTTTAACCTTCTCAAGGTATATAAAACTGTTGCTGGTTGGGCATGGTGGCTCATGCCTATAATCCCAGCACTTTGGGAGGCTGAGGCGGGAGGATCATTTGAGGCCAGGAGTTTGTGACCAGCCTAGGCCAACATAGCAAGACCTCATCTCTACCAAAAACCAAAACCAAATCAATTGTATCTTCAAACTGAGGCCCTCATCTCCTAATTTTTTTTACTCTTTACTTCCATATTTTACACACAGATTACAAATGAAAGATCCTCAGTTTCCACCTGTACCCACTTTTTCCTACCTTGGTCCTTCTCAGAACTCTATCACTGTTATTTAATGAGGAGGTAAAGCCCGAGAAAACCTGGAAATTTGTTTAGCCACACTTTCCCCAGAAAACTGAGAGGGCTAAGGAAAATTCTGAAGCTTCTTTTGCCCAAGGAAACAAGAAAGCTACTTACTATAAACCACCCATTATAGATATGATGACCCTTGAAAGAGAAATAGTTTATTTTTCTTCGTATTGTCTGAAACAAGAGAGCATCTCAGTGTAACTAAATGCATTTTTTAGTGTACATCAGAAGGAAGTAATTGCTTAATAAAGAGGGCCTGAACTGAGTTTGTTTTATTTCTGTTGATCATGAAAGGTAGAGCAGCTGTAGAGGTGAGCTGCCCTAAAACAATGTAAACAAGTCACTGCCTTAATGGTGCTTCTAACAGTAACAAAGCAGTGCTCCATGACAAACTATTCTAAAGAATACTTTCTTCTTGCTCTTCCTAGTCAATTTCATTCAATTGAGCTCCACAATTCAGAAACAGTGCCAGGAGGGATAAGAAAAATGGAGTGCCTGTACCTCTGAATCCTGACTCATGCACAAGTGTTTTATCTCAAATTGGCTAGACATTTCTCAGAGTAAAGGATCGCTGGCAGTGTTTGGAAACTAAAGGAGAATAAAGAACAGTCTCATCAATCATGCAGCTAATGTTGTGGACTGAATTCATATATTGAAGCCCTAACTTCCAATGTGATAGTATTTGGAGGTGAGGGCTTTGGGTGGTAATTAGGGTTAGATGAGGTCATGAGAGAGGTGCCCATGATGGGATTAGTAATCTTATAAAGATAACTAATTTATAATTACTTATAAAGGGCTGAGATTAGAACTTTCTCTCCATTATGTGAGGGTATAGCAAGAGGACAGCCCTCTGCAAACCAGGGAGAGGGCCCTCACCAGGAACCAAATCTGCTGGCTCCTTGATCTTGGACTTCCCAACCTCCAGAACCATGAGAAATAAATGTTGTTTAAGCCAGTGGTCCCCAACCTTTTTGGCACCAGGGACTGGTTTTATGGAAGACAATTTTTCCACAGATAGGTGGAGCGACACAATGGTTTGGGGATGAAACTGTTCCACCTCAGATCATCAGGCATTAGATTTTCATAAGGAGTGCACAATCTAGATCCCTTGCATTTGCAGTTCACAGTAGGGTTTGCATTCCAATGAGAATCTAATGCTGCCACTGATCTGACAGGAGGCAGAGCTCAGGTAGTAATGCTCACTTACCCACTGCTCACCTCCTTCTGTGCAGCCTGGCTCCAAACAGATGGGTACCTGTCCGTGGCCCAGGCGTTGGGGAACCCTGATTTAAGTCATCCAGTCTATGGTACTTTGTTATGGCAGCCCAAGCTAAAACAATTCAGTACTTTGAGATCAATGTAAAAATTACCTTTTCCTTAAATGACCTCCATGACCCATTAACAAATGAAGGCTGACCTTCATTCGGTCATTTCATAGGATATTCCAGAATGCTGTGATACTGAATATCCATGTGTCCCATCATTCTTGATTCTTGGTTGTTTTTTTTTTTTTTTTTTTTTTGAGACAAGGTCTTACTATATTGCCTAGGCTGGACTTGAACTCTCAAACTCCTGGACTCAATAGATCCTCCTGCCTTGGCCACCCAAAATGCTGAGATTGCAGGCGTGAGCCACTGTGCCCTGCCAGGACTGGCTTTTTAAAGAGGCAACAGGGCCAGGCATGGTGGCTCATGCCTGTAATCCCAGCACTTTGGGAGGCTGAGGTGGGTGGATCACTTGAGCTCAGAAGTTTGAGACCAGCCTAGGCAACATGGTGAAACCCTGTCTCTACAAAAAATACAAAATTTAGCTGGGAATGGTGGCACACACCTGTGGTCCCAGCTACTGGCAATGCTGAGATGGGAGGATCGCTTGAGCCTGGGAGGCTGAGGCTGCAGTGGGCCAAGATTGCGCCAATGCACTCCAGCCTAGGTGACAGAGTGAGAATCTGTGTCAATAAATAAATAAATAAATAAATAAAGCAAGAGGTATCAAATATTCACAACAGAGATTTCTGCCTCTCAGCATGGGTGCAACTTTCATCCCACTCAGGATAATAGTGAGAGCTGAGGTACTGAACATTGCTAAAAAACTATGTGAGGGTAAAACAAAAGAGGTCTATGAATTGCTTGTTAGATAGGCCAGGAAAAGTCCTGCAATCTAAGGACCAGATTACAGCAGGAAATGCAGTCAGAATCACCTGGAAGGAAAAGCTGCAATCTCAAATAAAATTACCAGTTGCATTTTTCTGTTGTTACAGGAAGCAGGTATTAAAACTGCTTTCACCAGAAAATGTGAGGAGACAGCTTTCATTGTGCCCCAGTGTGAAATAATTCCAACTGAATGGTTTGCAGAAGAATACCAACTGGTTCTTCACTCGAAAGAAATCCTGGTGTCAAGGAAGGATGTGAGTTTTGCCCACCTAAAGTGGAGATGTTTTTCAAGGATGATGCCAATCATGACCCACAGTGGTCTAGGCAACAGCTAATTGCAGCAAAATTTGGCTTTGCTGCACTTGGTATAAAACTGAAGTGGATATCATGAGTCATGCCACATAGGCTGTTTTTGAAATCCCGGAGAAATCCCGGTTGCTCCCAGAACTGTACACCGGTTGATATGAAGATTGAATTTGGTGTTCATGTGACCAGCAAAGAAATTCTCACTGATGTTATTGATAATGACTCCTAGAGACACTCACCATCGGGGGAGCAAAGCCAATAGAAAGACAGTCTTTTAATCATACTTTTAAAAATGTTATTTTAAAAAAATAGAGCCAGTCTTGCCATGTTGCCCAGACTCAAGCAATCCTCCTGCCTTAGCCTCCCAAAGTGCTGGGATTACAGGCGTGAGCCACCACTCCTGGCTGAAACAGTCTTATCAAGGCTTCAGTGTAACTCCTGAAGGGTTCCAAATGGTAAGGAAAAACTTTGCGTGGGTTGTAGAGAGTAGAGTTGCTTTTGAAATCAGAAAGTCAGTGCAGTGTTATAGTATTGATGGGTTCTACTTCTGATCTTAATCACCGTGAAAAAAATCAAGGCCTGTGGAAATTTTGGCATTCCATGTAGACTTTGAGTAACATCTGCACATAAAGGACCAGAAGAAATGCTGAGGATTAAAGCTGAGTATGAAGGGGTGGCAGTCGTACTGTATTTGTGGCAGTGGCAGGCAGAAGCAATGGTTTGGGATCAGTGATGTTTGGGAACACTACACATCCAGTTATCTATTGTCCTCCCCTCACACCAGACTGAGGAGTTCAGGATGTGTGGTCTTCTCTGCGACTACTCAGTGGTCTCGGCTATTCAACCATACTTTCTCCAGAAGGATCAGCTCAGTTTGCTACTCAGATATTTGGATTAAACAACCATTTATTATGGGGCAAACTGCAAGCAAGCACTTTGAACACATGGATTTTTTGGAAGAAAGGTGACAAGAAAATCAGAGAAAACATCATTGCATTTTTAGGGGGAAAACTACAAATTTCTAATTTAGCTGCAGAAAAAATAATTAGAGAACACAAATAAAATGTACTAGTGAATACATGCTTCTCTAGACCCAAACAAAAACTATTTGCAACGTAATTAAAACAGGTTAAGTGCTGTGAAAAATAGAAACATGGTGACATAGAAGAGCCTGACGGGGGAACCTAACCGAGTCCTGAGAGTGTAAGCCAGCTTCCCCAAGGAAGTGACACTTCAACCGAGATCTGAAGGACAGCAGTCTATAAATGAAGTAGAGAAAGGCAGTGCTGAGGGCAGAGGGCACCTGCATGGGCAGAGGCTGGGAGCAAGATGAGTACAGCGTGCCCCAAGTAATCAGGAAGTGCCAGTGGCTGGAGTGCAGAGACAGCAGCGCAGTTTTAGCTAGAGATGAGAGTAAGGGAGGCAAGGGCTGGATCATCCTGTCTCCTGTAGGCCACAGCAAGATGTTTGGTCTTTATGGCAGAGGAAAAGCATTTATTGAAGTGACATTTTAAAAAATTACTGATGGCCGGGCACGGCGGCTCACGCCTGTAATCCCAGCACTTTGGGAGGCTGAGGCAGGTGGATCACTTAAGGTCAGGAGTTTGAGACCAGCCTGGCGCAAAACTGTCTCTACTGAAAAAATACGAAATTTAGCCGGGTGTGATGGCGGATGCCTGCAATCCCAGCTACTCCGGAGGCTGAGGCAGGAGAGTCGCCTGAACACAGGAGGCAGAGGGTGCAGTGAGCCAAGATTTCACCACTGCACTCCAGCCTGGCGACAGAGACCACGTCTCAAAAAAAAAAAAAAAAATTATTGACAATATGAAGAATAGATTGAAGGGAGATAGGAACTGAGATAAATCCTATTTTACCTTCGATTTCTACTTTAAAATCACATATACTCATTTGGACAAAAAATTTCCTAGTTGGGAACGTCAGATAAATAGATTTAAGGCAGCCGGCGCGGTGGCTCACGCCTATAATCCCAGCACTTTGGGAGGCCGAGGTGGGCAGATCACCTGAGGTTAGGAGTTTGAGACCAGCCTGACCAACATGGAGAAACCCCATCTCTACTAAAAATACAAAATTAGCCAGGCGTGGTGGCGCATGCCTGTAATCCCAGCTACTTGGGAGGCGGAGGCAGGAGAATCACTTGAACCCAGAGGTCGGAGGTTGCGGTGAGCCGAGATCACGCCATTGCATTCCAGCCTGGTCACAAGAGCGAAACCCCGTCTCTAAATAAAAAAGTAAATAAATAAATAAAAAGATTTAAGATGGGAACCAGTCTCTTGGGGATTGGGAGTGCTCTGTAGCTATGCAGAGATCCCCCAGGGCTGTTCCTGGTCACACCTACTCCTCACTCTGGAGGTCTAGAACTCTACAGTGGCTGCTATGGGTGGGTTAAAAGATTTCATCAGATGATGATTAAACACCCTTTTTATCAAATCTAAATGTACAAGTTCAGGATATTACACTTATTCTTTATGATGGATTTCAATCCAAAACAGGACTTTTAGAAGCAACTGCTCCTTTACCTTGCTGTCCTTATCAGGCAACCTCAATGATCTCTAAAGCCAGGAAACAACCTAAAACTTAACATGCAAATTCACAATGTGGCTAAAACTTCACACTCTCCTAACCAATGAGCTACAACAGAAAGGAGCAGCTCTGAAGGCAAAAGTAGATATAAAAAAAAAAAAAAAATGAAAAGCACAAACATCCAGACCATGTAACTTGGGAGTAAACATTGCATGAGGCTACTCTATTACAACAGAAAGTACTGATAAGCTAAACCAAGAAAGTTTAAACTCAGTAGAGAAGTGTATTAAATATGAGGAAGACCTTTAAGAAATAAAATGTGGCCAGGCACAGTAGCTCACGCCTGTAATCCCAGACTTTTGGGAGGCCAAGGTGGGCAGATTGCTCGAGCCCAGGAGTTCAAGACCAGCCTGGGCAACATGATGAAAATCTCTACAAAAATTAGCTGGGCTTGGTGGCACGTACCTGTAGTCCCAGCTACTCAGGAGGCTGAGGCGGAAGGATCGCTTGAGCCCAGGAAGTCAAGGCTATAGTGAGCCATGATCATGCCACTACACTCCAGCCCAGGCAATAGAAACCCTGTCAAACAAACAAACAAAAAGCTTTGCAGTTAAACTACCTGGAAAATAAAACTTATATGAAACCCCTCTTGACGAAATAAGATGGATAGACAAAGGAATGTTTTACCTGCAACATCCCCAGGTTAAGTTGCTAAAAGTCAAGGTAGTGTGCTAAATGTTTTCTGAATAAAAAGACTAACAGATCAATCTATCACTACCACAAAAAAGGAACGTGCCAGTAACAAGCAACTACTCAAGCATAAGAGAAGACCAAAAAGAGTGGGCTTAAAAAACAAACTTTATTCCAAATTATCAAAAAAAAAGTGTTAACTCTGAAACATTTAACAGATTTCATTTAAACTCATAGGGTCATAAAACTCAAACTATCAAACAAAAATAGCATTGTGCACTTAACCACTTTCAATAATGAACCTTCAAGAGGAAACATTTAGAGACTCCCACACAATTTGGGAGCCAATAGGCAACACATATTTAATATTAAGCAAAGACAGCATTAAAAACTAAAAATCCTCAAATTTCAAGAGAATACCTGTTCAAGTCTTTGATATACATTTGCACATGAGAAAAGAAATATTTTAATTTAAAAGAGACCAAGTCTGAGTGCTTATCCTTTCTTCAAATGTAATCTCCTGTCCACCCTTCATTTTATGACTGCATACGCCTCACTCTACTTCATCTACACTGAACCAGTGTTCGTTCAACATGATTGGCTTCACTCGAAGCCCTCTAGATCCCATTTCATATATCCCATCGACCACCATTATTCCCTTACATGTTTGCACAGCCTTATACTGAGCATTACATTGTAACCAAGCTTGGGAATTTCAGGTATCCAAAGGTAATTATATACACAAACGCTTCTGTTTTATTGCACAGTTCACAATATAGCTGGTGATTACACAACCAACCATGTTAAGATGAATATCGACTATTTAGACAAATACATCGATTTTGTCCCCAACCACAAATGAAACAAGAAAGACACACATATTCGCCACCATATCAAGGTTGTGTTTACTCTGTGGTGCAGTCCTGAGGGCTCATACCACTCTCAGTGTGTTCAATACGGAATCCATAACATTTCTGGTGGCATCACACATGAAGTATAGGACACAAGACCATAAGTGTCCTGCGCTCATGAGCCATTTGTGCCACAGACGTAACAGAAAGGCCACTTTTAAAGCTTTTCAGATATTCAATCACATTTGCCTTTTCAATTTTTTTTTTTGAGACAGAGTTTCACTCTGTTGCCCAGGCTGGAGTGCAGTGGCGCAATCTCGGCTCACTGCAACCTCCGCCTCCCAGGTTCAAGCGATTCTCCTGCCTCAGCCTCCTGGGTAGCCGGGATCACAGGCATGTGCCACCATACCCGGCTAGTTTTTTGTATTTTTAGTAGAGATGGGGTTTCGCCATGTTGGCCAGGCTGGTCTCAAACTTCTGACCTCAAGTGATCCACCCGCCTTGGCCTCCCAAAGTGCTGGGATTACAGGCGTGAGCCACCGCACCCGGCCTGCCTTTTCAAAGTTGTTACCACACTAGTTCACACTGAAGGTAAAAGCAATAGTTAGAATCTCTTATTAACAACACATTTTGACTTCAAGTTCAGACAAAGCTGTTGGTTACAAGTTCTGCTAAATTTTTTGTCAAATTTAAGAAGTCTATAGGACAACACAAAACCATCCCTGGTAATGTATTTGCAGTTTGGTCTTCAAAAGCTGTAAAGAGTGACAAAGAAATAAAAAAAAATACTGAGTTAAAACCATTAAAAATATTTATTAATAATTGTTTTTAAATGCCACTTATTTGAGACAGCAGAAACCAAAGCATTTTCTTTAGAATTCTCACTTAGCTTGTATTTCACAAAAGTGCTTTAGAACTCAGATTTCTACCACCTGTGTGGAGTGTAAAGACAAAAGGAAGCCCAACAAAACCAAAGGCCCAATGGTGTCTATTCCCAGGGCCAAGGTATAACCCCAGGCTAACCCACCTGCCCTGGGCTGAGTAGCTGCACACACCTGTGAGTGCTCAAAGTCACACGCATGATTGAGGGGGTCAGGCACCAAGGTGCCTTTATTTATTCATTTCTCAAACTCAATTCCCTTCAAATCCTGACTCGATTTAATAGGCCAATGGATGCTACTCATATTTATTTGGTGCCAAATTATTATTTTTTTAAATCCTTACATCTGCACCTTGAAAGCAAACTGCAATATCCAGCACAACATTGTCAGAGCTGCTGTATGGCTATTTAGCTTTATTACTGCCTGGCTAATGCTTAATACGCTTCATCCTTTACAGCTGGAAGAAGGATGGTCACTGTATTTAACCAGCCATAGTGCATTTAGAGGTCAACAGCTTTTATGGACTATTTGTCCAAGAACTTTCAGTAAACTACCAAGTTGAGGCCTTTATTTTGGTCAGTATGTATAAATATTCATATGCAATTATCCAGAAAGAAGAAAAACTGGTTAACAAGAAACCTACTGTCATGTCAGATGCTGGAAATCAATCTTTAGCTACATAATATTTACAGAAAGGGTTTTAAGATGCATAATCCACTTTTTCAGTCTGTCTCTTGTATTTCATTAGTCAATTGGAAGTGGCACAAGTTTCATCTGGAAAAAATATTTTCACCTTTTCTAATTCTTTTGACAAATAAGTTTTTGTCTGTTAAGGGATGAGAATGCTATTTGGCTATTACCTACTTTTAGAATTCAAACTAACCCTTCAAATGTCTTTATTTAGATCATATGCTCTCAAACTATCTTATTGTTTTACTGACACAATGGTAAAACTGGGTTCCCAAAATGTCAAAACCCTAATGGAGTCTCTATTTCCAAGAGTAAAATAAAAGACAGCTAACACTGTGAGGTGAAAACTATCCTGAGCCTTTTTTCCCCTCTCTTTAACATTTAGAAACTAGGGGGAAAAAAGTGGGATTGCATTAATAGACTTCCAAAACAAAATGTTATGGAAGTGTTTATTTTTTAAAAGGAGAGTTTTAAGAGAACAGGATGCTTGAATATGACCAACTCCCACTCAAGGGGAAAAATAACCACAGGCCTTTGCTGAGATGGCACCAGTAATTCAAAGAAACCAAGCTAACCAGAATTTGATCCACACACAAAATGAAAACTTGTTAACAGGATGGAACAACTATAACAAGATTCAAGTCCCTTCATCTTTTGGCAATGAAATAAGTGAAATTATAACACAAGGACATTTTGGAAGGGTTGAAGATCACAGTCAGAATCAAACAGAAAACTTTCAAACCTAGAAAGCAAAACAGGAACTTTCATAGCTCCTTGATCTACCATATCTAAATAGAAATAGTATAATGCCTATCCAATAGGTGCTTAGTTTCAAAACTAATACAAGCAATTTATCATGAAAAGCCTATACCTAATAAGCTGTTTTTCTTTTCTGTTCTGCCCCTTTGTCATATGCTTGAGCTTAATGAAGACTGTCCTCTGCAGCTGCTCCTGAGGGCAGAGAAGCAAGCAATGGAGTAACAAAGGAAGCCTGAGGAGCCCCTGGCCCCTGAGGACCTTCTCCTCTGGCCGGTCACAGCCACTTATGTTTCAATGCAGGCGATTTCAAGATTGGTTTAAGAAAAAGAATCCTATCTTGGGGATTAGGTTCCCTGTCAAAGGCCATCAGATGGACAGCTATTTACCAGGCAATTAGCCTAAAGCTCTTAGGTAATGATAAAAAAAAAAAAAAAAAAAAAAAAAACCTTGTATTTTCCTATTGGAACCTTTTATCCTATTTTGTTGATGCTTAAGGAAAAAAGCTTTGCCCATAACTCACTGTGGCCTGGAGTTACGACACCAACTTATATTTGGCCAATTAAGAAAGAGATTCTCCTGCCTCAGCCTCCCGAGTAGCTAGGACTACAGGCGCCCGCCACCACGCCTGGCTAATTTTTTGTATTTTTAGTAGAGATGGGGTTTCACTGTGAGTTTCACTCTTTTTGGCAACAATAATACGGCGCCCAACGTGGGCCTCAGAGAAGACTCGGAACCCCAAAGGAGTTGCCCGAAACCGGAGAGAGAAGCGGAGATCCTGATGTTTCTCAGTGCCATTGTGATGATGAAGAACCGCAGATCCATCACTGTGGAGCAACATATAGGCAACATTTTCATGTTTAGTAAAGTGGCCAACGCAATTCTTTTCTTCCGCTTGGATATTCGCATGGGCCTACTTTACATCACACTCTGCATAGTGTTCCTGATGACGTGCAAACCCCCCCCTCCCCATATATGGGCCCTGAGTATATCAAGTACTTCAATGATAAAACCATTGATGAGGAACTAGAACGGGACAACAGGGTCACTTGGATTGTGGAGTTCTTTGCCAATTGGTCTAATGACTGCCAATCATTTGCCCCTATCTATGCTGACCTCTCCCTTAAGTACAACTGTACAGGGCTAAATTTTGGGACGGTGGATGCTGGACGCTATACTGATGTTAGTACGCGGTACAAAGTGAGCACATCACCCCTCACCAATCAACTCCCTACCCTGATCCTGTTCCAAGGTGGCAAGAAGGTAATGCGGCAGCCACAGACTGACAAGAAAGGACGGGCTGTCTCATGGACCTTCTCTGAGGAGAATGTGATCCGAGAATTTAACTTAAATGAGCTATACCAGCGGGCCAAGAAGCTATCAAAGGCTGGAGACAATATCCCTGAGGAGCAGCCTGTGGCTTCAACCCCCACCACAGTGTCAGATGGGGAAAGCAAGAAGGATAAATAAGATCCTCACTTTGGCAGTGCTTCCTCTCCTGTCAATTCCAGGCTCTTTCCATAACCACAAGCCTGAGACTACAGCCTTTTATTTATGTTTTCCCTTTGGCTGTGACTGGGTGGGGCAGTGCGCAGCTTCTGATTTTAAAGAGGCATCTAGGGAATTGTCAGGCACCCTACAGGAAGGCCTGCCATGCTGTGGCCAACTGTTGCACTGGAGCAAGAAAGAGATCTCACAGGATGGAGGGGGAAATGGTTTCCCTCCAAGCTTGGGTCAGTGTGTTAACTGCTTATCAGCTATTCAGACATCTCCATGGTTTCTCCATGAAACTCTGTCGTTTCATTATTCCTTCTTAGTCAACCTGCACAGCCTGGTTAGACCTAGATTTAACCCTAAGGTAAGATGCTGGGGTATAGAACGCTAAGAATTTTCCCCCAAGGACTCTTGCTTCCTTAAGCCCTTCTGGCTTGGTTTATGGTCTTCATTAAAAGTATAAGCCTGGCTGGGCGCGGTGGCTCACACCTGTAATCCCAGCACTTTGGGAGGCCGAGGCGGGTGGATCACGAGGTCAGGAGATCGAGACCATCCTGGCTAACACGATGAAACCCCATCTCTACTAAAAATACAAAAAAAAAAAAAAATTAGCTGGGCGTAGCCGGGCACAGTGGCTCACGCCTATAATCCCAGCACTTTGGGAGGCCGAGGCGGGTGGATCACGAGGTCAGGGGTTCGAGACCAGCCTGACCAACATGGTGAAACCCCGTCTCTACTAAAAATACAAAACAATTAGCTGGGCGTGGTGGCGGGCGCCTGTAATCCCAGCTACTTAGGAGGCTAAGGCAGGAGAATTGCTTGAACCCTGGAGGCGGAGGTTGCAGTGAGCCAAGATCGTGCCACTGCACTCCAGCCTGGGCAACAGAGCAAGACTCTGCCTCAAAAAAAAAAAAAAAAGTATAAGCCTAACTTTGTCACTAGTCCTAAGGAGAAACTTTTAACCACAAAGTTTTTATCATTGAAGACAATATTGAACAACCCCCTATTTTGTGAGGATTGAGAAGGGGTGAATAGAGGCTTGAGACTTTCCTTTGTGTGGTAGGACTTGGAGGAGAAATCCCCTGGACTTTCACTAACCCTCTGACCTACTCCCCACACCCAGTTGATGGCTTTCCATAATAAGATTGGGATTTCCTTTAAAAAAAAAAAAAAAAGAGGCCAAACTGCATTCTTCTTAGAAGGTCTATTCAGTTGATAAATGGCACTTAACTGATGGTTTTTTCATATAACCTTTAACAAGAACTCATAAGTTGCATTGATTATGCCCCAAGAGATGAGGGACCGATGGTAATTCAGATGGGCACCTCTGAAAAGATTTATCAGTTTTCTGTCCCGTTCCAGCCAGATTTTTTGGAAAACCTTGGGGAAAGACTGAAATTCCCCACCAATCTGAGACTGTATGCGAGTTTTTACAACATTAATTGGAAAAAACAAGAATCCCAACATGGCACCCAATAGACCTCCACAGATAAAATCATTGACCAGATGAGCACTGTGAGTCGTTGCGGTAGGCAGATGCTCCTTAATGGGACCTCGAAGGCCGAAAAACAAGACATTGCTGAGTCCATTCCGGAAAAGAATGGGCACCAAGCCTCGATAATACTCTCCAATTCCATGACATTTCAGTGCCTTGAAAGCCTGGTAAGTGTTGGTAAATTTGTCATGATGCTTGTGGTCTTGAAGCAATGTCTGAACTCTTTCCAGTGGAGTGAAAATTGCTTCTGTTGTCCCTGCAAGCACTGCCGCCACGCCACTGGTTGCAAACTCTGGAGCACTGACATGCTTGTGGAGAAGGCAGGATAAATCCTCATACAGACCAAACATAAGTGCAAGCGTAGTTGTCTTCTGCATCAATGGGGGAAGGATTCCACGATACAAATTTCGAAATCCATCCCTTCTCAACTGAAGTATTGCATCCCGGGTTTTGATGCCATACAGCTGTTGTCGAAAGAGGACCTTCTGAATGGGAAATGTGATTGCGACATTGTTGAAGGCTGCACAGCAGCCACACAAGTAATGCTTCATCTCACCAACATTTGTAATATGAGGTGATATATCTTGTTTTGAAGATGTTAGTATTGGTGGCCTCTTTTCATGAGCTTCTGAATCCATCATGCTGCTTAAGATCTTTCTTTTTCATGAAGGACTTTTTTTAACCTACAAATAATAAATGACAACGGGTAAACCCGTTTTATAGAGAGCTAAACACATGGGCTTTCTCCCTAATCCATCCTCTAATATCTGGACACCACACTTTCCTTTTCAGACTAGATCAGTGATTCTTAAAGCATTTTCAGAAGACCCCTGGAAGTCCCTGAGATCCTTTTGGGAGTCCAGGAGATTTTCCTTTTT